>NC_000004.12:85436532-85588047 GCF_000001405.40 Homo sapiens
ACCTGCTCTTAGCCAGTTCCACATACCATCAATTCCAAGGTTTCTACCTACAGTTCAGACCCCTCCACCAAGCCTGAGACTTATGTATCACATATTATGCAGAAACTTTTGCAATTCAGGGATTTGCAGGTTCTAGATAAGGGAACTGTAACTGCTCCAATGATCAAGAGTCCGAGTTTCACAGGGAGGAAAACAATACACACTGGGTCCTGTCAGGGTCGGGGTAGGGACAGGGGAGGGAGAGCATCAGGATAAATAGCGAATGCATATGGAACTTAATACCTGGGTGATGAGTTGATGGGTGCAGCAAACCACCATGGCATATGTATACCTATGTAACAAACCTATACGTTCTTCACATGTATCCCAGAACTAAAGTTAAAAAAGAAAAAGAGGGTGGGTGTGGTGGCTCACGCCTGTAATCCCAACACTTTGGGAGGCTGAGGCGGGTGGATCACCTGAGGTCGGGAGTTGGAGACCAGCCTGATCAACATGAAGGAACCCCATCTCTACTAAAAATACAAAATTAGCTGAGTGTGGTGGCGGGTGCCTGTAATCTCAGCTACTTGGGAGGCTGAGGCAGGAGAATCTCTTGAACCCGGGAGGCTGAGGTTGCAGTGAGCCAATATCGCACCATTGCACTCCAGCCTGGGCAACAAGAGCGAAACTTCATCTCAAAAAAAAAAATGAATCCAAGTTTGTCTTCAAATTAAACAGAAGTTCAAGCCATTCAGTGAAAATGGCTTGGGCTTCTGTTTATATAATGCACTCCTATTTCTCCGTATCTTTTCATACGTCCTCCAATAATTTTTTGGAGGGAAGCTGGAGTCAAAATTTCTAACAAAAAAATTGTTCTTCCCTTCTGACCAATAAAGCCTAGCTTGGAGCCCCTGATTTCCTAGCTGCCTATGTTTTATAATCAGTGTAACTACCCGTTCTTTATTTATGACCTAAGTCGTTTACTATTTTAATTAATGAAGTTTTATGTGTATCTGCGCCCTGAGGCAACTTAAAGCAGGGGTATAATTTCTGAGCCTTTGCAAAGTAAATTCATAAACAGAAAGCCATTTTCAGCCAGGCTAATAAAAACACACTGATTTTAATTGACCATAAGCCATAGTGCAAGCTGAAGACCTTCATCATATCGACCTTATGGAGTCTCTGGTGAAACAATTCAAACTAAGAGCCAAACAAAGTTTTATACAATTTTGTTAAATGTTGTAATTGAGTTCGGTCTTTTAAGCATGCAGAGACATGAATATGGATTTATATGGAAGGAGTGAAACTATACCTTGTGTATCTGTAGAGTTCCTCTGGTGCTTCCATGAGGAACCATGATTCCTGCATTAGTATTTTCACAAAGCCATTTGTAACAGGAAGAACCATGGCTTCTATGAATTTTTCATTATAAACTGGAAGAAACAGTTCATTTTTTGGTGTCAGCTTGAGAGCAAACGATTTTGAGAAATCAGAAAGGAAAATTCCTTTGTGTCATGTTTTGAACTTTTACTGCAGGGTCTGGTTAAAATGGATAAAATGTTGAGAAGTTTTTAATTTCTCCCTACTTTTCTAAAATGTAAATGACATTTAATGTTTTATTAATAAGAAGGCAGTTAAGTTGCCCAGAGGTTAAGATTTATTGTTTCAAATATAATGTCACATGACTGGAGGCCTTATTATGCTGAGAACGAGCTAAAGACTGAGAAATTAGATATTATCACTCAAAAGTAAACTCTCCTTTGAACTTGCAGAGAGTCACGTACATAATATGGAACTGGGCATGTTTCTTCACCTCTGTTTTCTTCACCTGTAAAATGAGATTAATAATAACAATAGCACCTGCCTTATGGGGTTTTGGGGAAGATTAAATGAGATAAAACCTGTAAAATACTTGGAACTGAGTCTGACATGTGATAAGTGTCAAAAAAAAATGTTAATTATATTTATTCACATTTACAACTTCTCTTTAGTGCCCGCTTTGAAACAAAAGATTCCTTAAAATAGTCTATTGCTAAGGGATATTGGCTTATTTTTTCCCCTTTTATTTTTACTTAACACAACCATTGTACATATTTGTGGAATAGAGAGTGTTATTTTGATACATATATACAATGTATAATGGTCAAATCAGGGTAATTAGCATATCCATCACCTCAAACATTTACCATTTCTTTGTGTTGTGAGCATTCAGAGTCCTCTCTTCTAGTTTTTGGAAATATACAATAAATTCTATATCTGTAGCACTGTAGGGTGAATATGGTTAATTTTCATACAATAAATTATAGGTGCAGCAAACCACCATGGCACATGTTTATACAATAAGTTATAGGAAAATTAACCATATTCACCCTACAGTGCTATAGAACACCAAAACTCATTCCGCCTGCCTAGCTGTAGTTTTGTATTTGTTAACTAACCTCTCCTAATCCTCCCTTCTCTCTTAGCCTTCCCAGCCTATGATACCTATAATTCTGTTCTCTACTTCTATGAACTCAAAATGTCTTTTAGCTCCCACATATACATGAGAACATGTGGTATTTATCTTTCTGTGCCTGTCTTATTTAACTTAACATAATTTCCTCCAGGCTCATCCATGTTGCCTCAAATGCAGGATTTCATTCTTTTTATGGCTGAGTCATATTCCATTGTGAATGTATACCATATTTTCTTTTTCCGTTCACCAATCAACGGACATCTGGGTTGATTTCATATGTGAACTATTGTGAATAGTGCTACAATAAACATGGGGGTAGGTATTCCTTTGATATACTTATTTTCTTTCCTTAGGATAAGTACCCAGTAGAGGAATTGACTGGATCATATGATAGTTACATTTTTTAGTTTTTTGAGAAATGTCCATACTGTTTTTTATAATGGCTGTACTAGTTTACATTCCTACCAAGAGTGTATAAAAATCCCTTTTCCTCCACATCCTTGCCATCATTTGTTATTTATTGTCTTTTGTTAATAACCGTTCTAATTTGGGATGCAATAATATCTCATTGTGGTTTTGATTTGCATTTCTCTGATTAGTGATATTGAGAACTTTTTCATAAGTTTGTTGGCCATTTGTACATCTAAAAATGTCTATTCAGTTTCTTTGCCCACTTCTAATTGAATCATTTGGGATTTTTGCTATTGAATTGTTTGAGATCCTTGTATATTCTGGATATTAGTCCCTTGTAGGATGAATAGCTTGCAAATATTTTCTCCCATTCTATGGGTTATATCTTCACTCTGTTGATTGTTTCCTTTGTTGTGCAGAAGCTTTTTACTTTAATGTAGTCCCAGTGGCCTAGGCAAAGACTTTATGGCTAAGATTTCAAAAGCACAGGCAACAAAAACAAAAAGAGACAACTGATTTTTGACAAAGACACCAAAAACCCATCTAGGGGTGTATCAGTCTGTTCTCACACTGCTGATAAATACTTACCTGAGACTGGGCAATTTACAAAAGAAAGCGATTTATTGGACTTACAGTTCCATGTGGCTGGGGAGGCCTCACAATCATGGCGGAAGGTGAAAGGCATGTCTCACATGGCGGCAGACAGAAGAAGACAGCTTGTGCAGGGAACACTCTCATTTGTGAAACCATCAGATGTCGTGAGATTCATTCATTGTTATGAGAACAGCTCAGGAAAGACCAGGCCCTGTAATTCCATCACCTCCCACTGGGTTCCTCCCATGACACGTGGAAATTGTGGGAGTCACAATTCAAGATGAGATTTGGTTGGGGACACAGCCAAACAATATCACGGGGAAAGGACACCCTCTTCAATAAATGGTGCTGGGAAAACCAGGTAGCCTTATGCAGAATGATGAAACTAGACCCCCTATCTCTCACCATATGCAAAAATCCACTCAAAATGGATAAAAGACTTAAACAGAAGACCCCAAACTATGAAACTACTAGAAAAAAACATCCTATCCAAGGTCTGCCATGCATCAAACAGGGTTATAGACCATAAGAATACAGCCTGAGTAAAGCCAATGAATCCTTGCCCCCATGGAGCTTACCTTCTAGTGGATGAGATAGATAATAAAACAAATAAGTTACTATCTCGCATAGTTTCAGGTAATAAGTGCTATGAAGACAAATAAGGCAAAGCAAAGAAGCAGACATGTACACTAATATCCTAAAACAATTATTTTGGCATTCTCCTGCCTCTCAAGCCAATATACATACTGAACATGATGATATCAATTAAAAAGTTTTCTCATGTATTTGTAACCAGTGAAGGCATTAACCCCCGAGAAGATATAGTCTTATAGCACCTAAAAACTTTTTAAGTTGCCTTAGACTGACATTTGCTGCAATTCTGAAGCATAGAAGTCATGAGGAACATGCAGTCATATTCTCTAAGATACTGTTTTCCAAGTCCAGCTGACACAGAGAGCAAAAATGAGTTAACATGGAGGTGGAGATTTTCATCCAGTCTTCCCACTATCCTTTCTATAAGGGTGAAAATGACTTTTAAGAAAGCTACTTAGCCAAAGCTAAAAGCATAGTTGTTTTGTCTGTATTTGGGAGGCCTTAGTTTACAACAGAATGGCAGCAACTGTGTTTGGCAAAGTAGTAGAGAAAGAAAGGCCATCTTTCATCTCGATTGTGAGGATATATCACTTGGAAGGCCATCTTGGTACTCCTTGCAGGATCCCACATCAATCTTTTGAGTCACATGTGGACTGAGATCTCAATGTGCTACCCAGCCGAGAGAAGATGGAATGGCCTTAAAACCTAAGGCAAATCAACAGACAACTAAAAAACTGAGATGATTTCTATAGCCATGTCCTTGATAGAAAAGAAAGTGGAGCAATAAAAACATTTTGAGTTGCAGTTTTTTTTTACTCTGTACTTTTGCATTATTAAAGTAAAATTATTCTATAGCAAATCACTTACAAGGAACTTCCTGTGCAATTATTAACATTTATTTTCTAAAACTGTAAAAATTCACAGACTCAGCATTGTGAGACCAGGCTCACTTATTCCAACAAATGGAAGATGCCACTCTTGACAGTCACAACGTGGCAATGATCAAATAAGGTTTAATTTTAATTGTGTTGCATCATAAAAGAGAGAGAGAGTTAAACATATATAGACTTGTAAATAATTGTCTGATTTTTTTGACATCTTAAATAATTTTACAAATGTATCAATTTAATTTGCTAATATAAGTTTTTTTTTAAAGAATATAGCTGTATTAATCCTCTCCCAGAAAGGATCATTTAAAAGGCATTCCTTGAATGCATTGAGTCTTTTTTCTGTTTGACAAGCAAGACCACTTTAGCTTGCAGAGAGGCATGATGAGTAGTGGTTACCAGCCTAGGTTGGTGCTATATTGCGGGTTTGAAACCAATCCACCTCTTAACAACAGTGAGACCATGGACAAGTTTCTTAATCTCTCTGTGCTTCATTCTTTCCATATGCAAGATGCGGATAAAAATATCTACCTATGGGTTCTATAATAGGGTTGTTATAAAAATAAAAAGAATTAGACAAAATATACCTAGAAAACTGCTAAACAAGTTATTACTATGACAACTAATCATTATTATTAGCTTTATCACTCAAGTGGTATGACAGAGTGAACTTCTCCTGAAATCATAGCACTCAACAGTATAAAGAAAAGAAATCCAGAGACAAATAGAAAGAAATCTAGTATACTATTAGCATTAATGAATAAAGACAATTTAGAGAGGGAATTTCATAAATCTTTGAGTGTTATTAAACATGGGGAATAATCGCAAAGGGGCCAAAAGACCAATTATGTTAGCATGTGACGTTGGATGGCTCTTTGGGAGAAACAAGCACACTTATTTATTCTCAGCTTTCTCCTTGAGGTACAAGTAAATGACAATTATATTTTGCACATACTGAATTCAGTATGTGAAAAAATATCTGCTTGTGTTTGGCTTCAAATTGACTTCTCCAATACCCTTAATCTTTATAATTTAGTAGCACTATTTAATTAATATTATTCCTTTGGAGACCTCCATTTTCTATTCTCTGTTTCTATTTCTAAATGTAGATGCAAATGTAGTTCTCTAAAGCCACATCTATTCAGATTCAAAGAGAAGGGGCTCAAAATTATTAAGTGAACACCTACTCTGATCAAGTTTGTTGCATACACTTTACATAAATTAATTTTATTTAAGTATTACAATAGCACCTGGACATGCCTATTATCATTTTTGGAATATTGGAAAATTAAGTAGCTTACTCAAGATCGCTCAAATAGAAGACGATGCTCATTCTGTTGATTGAACCAAGTTTGTTGATTGTAAATGCAGGGCAACTTTAATTCAACAATTGAATTCAAAAAGCACAGATTTTTAGACTCGGAAACTCTCAGTTTGTTACTTACTGTGTTTCTTTGGCAAGTCACTTGAACTTTCTATCTTTACTTTCATATTCTATTAACTGAAACAAAGACCAGCCACCCACCTAGTTTAAAGGATTGTTATGGGGATTAAATGAGGCAATAAATAGAAAATGCTTCAGAAACAGACAGAGTTGGTTTCAAATCCCTACTTTACCACTTAGGAAATTGGCCAAGTTATCTAAACTCTCTGTACCTACGTGTCTTGATCTGCAAAACTGGATGAATTGTGCCTGCTTTGAAAGGTATAGAGTCAATAATGTATGTTTCAAACCCCAACACTAGACCACAAACACTTAACTGTAGTGGTGGTTGGTATATTTCAATAATCTAAAACATGTAATACATGTAATTCCAGGGGCCCAATCCGCTCACACCTCTGTATAGTTTTTGAATATGAAAATTTGCAAATGTAGGCACATTTCTGAACAGATGGCAAAAATTAAAGTCTAAACTTCTCCCTATAGTTTGTATATAAATTGTCATAATAGATTTTTTAAGTCTAAAGACTAAAAACTATAATTTACATATAATACTTCAATTAAACCCAGCAAATGGAAAGGTTGTGACTTATTGCCAGGATGATCTACTGTATATGATAAAAGCTACTCATGCATCTTTCTGTAAATAGAAAATAGAATATGAAACAGAAATGCTGGTGGTAGACTACTAGCTGTCTCTCAAATCCATTCATTCTCCCTGTTTTCCTTATTAAAGGAGTTTTACCTGGGTGGCTTGGCACGGCCACGTGACAGTGTGCCTGCCAATGGGATATGAGCAGAAGTGAGTGCCCCTTCAGGTCTTGTCCTTAAAGCACGCTACTTGTACTCCATCTAGCTCTCTCGCCTGTACCTCCAGGCTATGGTGACCATCACACCATACTTGGAAGCCATGTGCTAAGGACAGCAGAGTTGCCACGCTAGTCCGGGTTCCTGGAAAGCCTTTTGATGTGAAGGTATCCCACATTCCTGGATCACATATACTGTTGCATTGAAGAGATGTAAACGTCTGTCATTTAAGCTGTGGCATTTGAAATCTCTTTGTTACAGCAGTTTAAACTTTATCCTAATATACACTTAAAGTCAAAATATGGGCAGTATAGGTTTGGCCAGCTATGCCTTTTTCTTTTTCTGAGAGGCATGACTCCCATCAAAGAGAAACTTACAAAGCAGAAGAAATTATAATAGAAATAAATCATAAACTTACTGAAGATAAGCTTAATTTACACTAACAAAGGTAAAATACAGGCTTTTGTTGAATTCTTTAATCGTCTAAAATTTCTTCATGTGAACATGAAGATCTAAAAATTGCTGTGAACAAGAAATGATACATGACTTTTCCATTACCAAAATGTTATTTTATCTTAAATTATTTAGTCCAAGGTGAGTTTTAACAGCATGATTCTGGTAATTTTCACCTCAGTGGCTGGGAGAACTTACAGGAAATGATGAGGAGGCAAATAATTTAAGAAGTTCCTTCCTTAAATGTTTTACAGACTTGAGACTTATCTTCTAAAAGATCGTGGCTATTTCAGCCTCTGGGAAAAAGTCTTTACTCAATAAATGTTTTGAGAAAGAGCGAATAAGTGATGCAGTAATGTTACAAACACAATAGGGGACTACAGCATACTCAGTGAATTCAATGAGGAGATAAAATTATACTTTCTACCCTAAAAAATATTTTTAAAAAATACTTTCCTCTTTTCCCATTCTTTTCCAAGATGATTCAAGAAATCTACTTCACAGTTTTTAAGACCCATTGAGAACAATTTTGGGGCAAAATACATAATGAAATAAACAAATATACAGTCTAATATAAATCCATGATCCCAAATAAGGATCTAAATCGTGGGGACCTAGCAGTCTAATCAAAAACCACCGTGTGCCTTTCTGCCTAAGTCAGTTGTATGATACCTTCAATAGTCATGGAGGTCACCAAACAATAATATGCATATCCATAAGGAAAAGGAAACGTGAAATATTAAGTTCTATTTCAAATCTAAAGCTTTTTTTCAAAGAACGACTCTAGAATTCCTCTTAAGAATCCATTACACAGGCAAATCTTTGAAGCAATTCTCTAATTCGATCAATTCATTGGAATGCAAATCACAACATTATCCAATCCTGCCTCCATATGGCCAGCTGCATCAAAAGCCACATGGCCCCAGCACTGGGGATAGGCTTGGAATCTGCAGTTCTCTGGTACAGTAAAGGAAATGCTGCCAAAACCAGAAAGTTGGGAATAGGAAATATCTGAGCCAAAGTGTGGGCTGCTTTCCCTCTTTGAGGCCACAGCAATTCAAATTATGAGTTCAGAGCATCATAAACCTAAGAAAGGACTTCTAGATTTTGGTGGTTTCCAATGCAATGAACATCATGGTTATATTTCCTGGATGATTTTTTTTTTTGTGGTGAGGACCTTGAGTTAGAACTGTTTCTCAACATAATCGGTTTCCTTTACAATCCTAAAGAACCTGGTGATAAGTATATCCTGAGAAGGAATCCACAGTCTTCACCAGACTGCCAAGGAGCTCACAGCATAAAAATATTTAAGAAATTCTGATCTTAAGCACTGGGGACTAGTAGGTATTGGCTGGGGTTCAGCACTCCATTCAAGCATGTGCAAGAACAGAGAAGAATTCTACTTCTAGCAAGGAACCAGCCTGGCAGGAGGTAAATAAGACATTGAAGTTCAGTGTACTCTTAGGCCTCAAGAGCTCAATTGAACACCTTCCCCTTCTCTCTTTTTCTAACCAGCATATACATTCACTGTGGCTGGTAGACCACACTCAATTCCACACCTAGCTTTAAAAGCATTCTTTTTCAATGCTGTGTGCAGTTGCTTACGCCTGTAATCCCAGCACTTTGAGAGGCAGAGGTGGGTGGATCACCTGAGGTCAGGAGTTCGAGACCAGACTGACCAACATGACGAAACCCCATCTCTGCTAAAAATACAAAAAATTAGCTGGGTGTGGTGGTGGGTGCCTGTATTCCCAGCTACTCAGGAGGCTAAGGCAGGAGAATCGCTTGAACCTGGGAGGCGGAGGTTGCAGTGAGCCGAGATCAAGCCATTGCACTCCAGCCTGGGCAACAAGAGCAAAACTCCATATCGAAAAAAAAAAGCATTGATTTTCCACACTGATATTCTCACCATTAACTTCTCAGTGATCAGTGAAAATGTCTCTACAAACTAAGCTTGATATAAATATAAATATGAGAAAGTATTATTTCACAGGAATAAAAGATCAAATTCTAATTTGTGACTATATGAATGAGATAAAATCGTTGTCAATTACTAGATATTCTTCCCTGTTTTCTTGTTCTGAAAATTCAGTCTATTTTTGTGGATTATATTGATGGGGACTTTTTTTAGGCTAAATAAACTCAACTACTGTGTTTTACAAACACTGGGGGAACAGCCAAACTTTGATTATCCTTTGCCAAAAACTTGGTCACTTCTAAATGCATTTATACTTGAAAAAGAAATTTTCCTTACACATACCTAAATGGTTTACCCACCCAAAAACTGTGAAAACTCATTCAAAGCCAAATCTGTTTTATTTATTGATATATCTCAAAATATATGTGATATATTTTGTCTTCCAGTGGAATGCACGGTCCACATTCACATTTTTCCCTCTAAACACCAATTAAAATTCAGAACTTCTGGTGAAATGGAAGGAAGGAAGTCCAATGTGGCTGAGAAATTCTGGATTCAGATGTTGCTCTAGGACTCAGCAGCTGGAAAAATTTGGCCATGTTGCTTAATCTGGTGTTTCTCAACCTAGTGACACCTTAGAAACATCTAGAAGCTTTAAAACATGATTACACAGGTCTCACCCTTCTCCCAGGCATGGTTTAAATAGGTTGGCATGGAATCTAGGCCCTTATATCTCTTAAAAGCTTCCCTTGTAATGGTCAAGCAGAGTTGCTAGAATCTGAGGCAGGGTTAATAACCCCTTCTGTGGGGGAAAAAAAAAAAATCTTTGAGACTCAATGGAAATAATGCATTTTAACATTTAAAAATTTTAAAACACTGTAAAGTTAACGATGATGAGGTAATATGACAGAAGACCAATAAGACCAATAAACATTGCCTGATTTTCAGTTTCAGTTTACATAATGAGTAAAACCACCTCAAAATATTTAATGGGCAAAGGTTTATATTATCACTGTTATGGTTTTGTTACTTCATTTATTTGTCCAAGAAGTCTTGGCTTATTTATTATTTCTCACAGGATATGTGACAAAAATAATTTTGTAATATTGCTAATATAAAAGATTCTTTCTATTATTTATTTAGACATGAAATGACTAGACAGAGCCTTACCCTTATTATGAAATTGGCATTTTTATTACCATGTAAATTTTTTTTTACTTGTGTATCTTAGATTTATTAAACAGTTTGATAATCTTTCTCAAGACTTACATGCTGTTATTTTTGTTTTTGCATTTTTTTTTTTTTTTTTTTTTTGAGATGGAGTATTGTTCTGTCACCCAGGCTGGAGTGCAGTGGCATGATCTCGGCTCACTGCAGACACTGCCTCCTGGGTTCAAGTGATTCTCCTGCCTCAGCCTCCTGAGTAGCTGGGATTACAGGTGCCTGCCACCAGGCCTGGCTAATTTTTGTATTTTTAGTAGAGATGGGGTTTCATCATGTTGGCCAGGCTGGTCTCAAACTCCTGACCTCAGGTGATCCTCCCACCTGGGCCTCCCAAAGTGCTGGGATTACAGGCATGAGCCACTGCGCCCAACCTGTTTTCACTTATTTTTAAGCAAGAAGAACATGCATATCCTGTAGGTTATTGGCTCCCTATGATTATTTGAGATGTCTTGGGTTGGATTCCCTAGAAGCAGAGCCTGAGATAGGGATTCAGATGTATGTGACTTATTGAAGCAGTGCTGCCAGGAGAAAGGGAGGAAGGAAAGTCAGCTTGGGCAGGGGAAGAAACCAAGCAAGGATGGAACCTCAGGAGGACTCCAGCTTTAATCTGGTCCCACAGAAAGCTGGAGAGGACCGAATTTGTCCTACTTTGAGGCAAGGGGGCTGGGCTTTTGTACCCCTGTGACAGTCAGATTTGAGCTGAGGACAATTCTCTGGAAAAGTGGAAAAGAGGGGTAGTTGCAGCCCAGCAGCCAGACAGTGCAGCTGGAGGGTGGTACACTGGAGGAGAAAGGACCTGGGAGAAGCACTGATGGCATTTAATTTAGGGACTGTTGCCCCCTTTAAAATGTTTTCCTCATCATTTGCCATTCCATGTTAATAGTTTCGTTCCTTTGGATACAGTAAAAATGGGCCATGCCATAGGTTGACAACTATCAAGGGAGATAAGACAGATATTTACTGAGCACCTACTAGCTCTCAATATGCACTCAGATGATGACGTGCTGATGTTCCATTATCATTCATCAGTGTTTTCTCATGTAATTCAAGAGGTACTTTAGTGAGAAGCATGTAGTAGTCTGAGAGAAAAAAAAATCTAAGATGGGTATTTCAAGAAGAGGAGTAATTTCCAAAGAGATAATATTATATACTTTTTGAGGACATGAACCAAATGTTAAACATTTTTGTGTATTCCCAGTGCAACATAAAAGCTATTCAGGAAATCTATGGTAAACACAGGAATATGTAAATGGTACTGGAAAATAGAATGATGACAGAGAAGAGCTGTAAACAGAATTTTATCTATTCACAATTTTTCCTAGAGTCAAACCTGCTAAAAAAATTTAGTGGTGGAGGCGGGGAACCAAAAGGCATGAATTATATTTAGACTTAACGAAACACAGAAGCTCCTATTAAAAAAAAGAAACTCATATTACACAAGGACAATATAGCTTTCAGGATAGCTTTCTTTTGTTCATTGAAAGAGAGTCGGTGTTATCCCGGGGAATTTTTCTTGAAAGATGATTGATTTAATGCAATTTTCTACAATTTACCAATCGTGTCAATATTCTTTGGATTCCTTCTCTGTTAACCAAAGTCAGAGTTTTGTTGATTTGATAATCATAGTGGAAAACATTTGTTTATTTCCTTACATTGTTCCCAGGCAGAATGCCCATCAGATTTTCATCAGACTTGCAAACACACTCTTCTGCCATGGAACGTGATTTCATTAAATTGTGCTGAACTTTCTTCCAGGGTCACATGAAACAAACTGCAGGTGTGAGTCAGGGTGTACCGACTCTCCTCCACTGCAGCCTGCATCCTTCTAAACTCCCATCAGCTGCTACCCGATCAAAGGCCTACAGAAAGCCCTCCTTTTCCCTGTCATCCACAAGTCCCTTTAACAATAAAGAATGCTGGTCTGCACATGGCAGTACTGGTATTTTGATCTTTTTTCATTCTCGAACTTTTGTACCAGAAAGATCACACATTTGCAAGAATAAACACACCCACTTATTTAACTTCCTCATCTTTACCATCTTGCAGCTGTCTGAAACCTGTGATTTTTCTCCTATGGCTCATTCAACTATTTGAGGTTTGCACTATTTTCTAGTCAAAATGCTAGCACATGTGCAAATGCAAATGTTTTATTAAAATTTAGTAAGATGCCAAGCAGCTAAATACATCTTGAGCTCAGAAATACAGATATAAATATGCTGGCCTTCATCTAGGAATAAAGCACTGTGATAAGCCAGGGCTCTCCTTTATGGGTGACAGATTTATGGTAGTCTGTTTCTAATCTCTACATAGATGCTTTGGGCTCTCAGGAGGATGCTAGAATTGCTTGGATTGGTGAGGTCTCTAGTCACGGAACAGAATAAAGCTATTTCACTTAAGTGCAGTGCTGTTACCTACTGGTTTTCTATTTTTCCCTTTGCTGTCCCAAGTGGGAGATGAATTTGACATGTCAAACACTACCCCATGTGGGATATCCAGAGTGAAGTAAAGTCTTGGCTGAGCAGCTGTAACTCCAGTACGCTTTTTAACTCCATCCCTTTCTTTCTTTTTTTTTTTGGACAGGGTCTCACTCTGTTGTCCAGACTGGAGTACAGCGGCATGATCTTGGCTCACAGCAACCTCTGCCTCCTGGGTTCAAGCGATTCTCCTGCCTGAGCCTCCCTAGTAGCTGGGATTACAGGCACGTGCCACTACTGCCCAGCTAATTTTTGTATTTTTAGTTGAGACGGGGTTTCACCATGTTGACCAGGCTGGTCTTGAACTCCTGACCTCAAATTATCCACCCACCTCGGCCTCCCAAAGTGCTTGGAATACAGGCATGAGCCACCACGCCTGGCCAATTCTGTCCCTTTCTTTCTCACTAAAGAAGAAGATCACAATGAAAGACAAGGCAATTGGAGATCTTACAAAGAAGTATAATCTCGAATCCACTGTGCTACTATTAATTTTAAAATGTTGTTTCTTTAACTATTATAAGTACCACATGACCTGTGGTATATACTCTAATGCACCATAGCTCTGCAGATGCTGAGACCAATACAACAGGCTACTTCTATGAAGTGGTCAATGGTTCACTGCTGATTCCTAAACACAGTCACAAGAGATAATGGGGTATCAGTGAGGACATGACTAGAGAGCATCTGAACTAGTTCTACCTGTGCAGACACAAGTAAATCTTTCCAAGTTTTACTTCGATACCATGAGACCGGATTCGAAGATTTTCTAAAATCTCTGAACAGAATCTTAAAATCACAGTCTTAGATATGCAATAAGCAACTAATTATTCCTTAGTGATCAGCTAACAAAACTCTCTTTTACATAAAAATACAGGCCTAGAGAAGTAAGGTCAGTGGGGATGCACACAGTGTTACTTGGTGAACACATGTTCTATGTCCAGTACCCAATGAGGAACTTTGCTTGGATTACATCTAATTCTTTTGACAATTGGGAAGGGTAAATGACAATCTCATTTTACAGATGAAGGAATAGGTTTTAAAAGGTTAAGTGACTTAACCAGGTTCTCACATCAAGCTAGACAGAGAATCCATCTGTCAAAACCACATATTTTCAAGTACATCCCAGGTTTTGGCAGACAGGCTCCTCCTCTTTTGAGCCTTAAAAATTCCACGAGTAACCTAAATGTCCAAAATAGGCTACCTTAAGTACATGACTTAAAATGATGTGATTAAAAATGATGCGAATCATTCAACTATATTATTGAGTGGAAGGCAGATAATATAACAAGTTGTCCTATAAATCTACATATGTAGATAAATAAACGCATCACAATGTTCATATTGGTTGAGTTTAGGAGGTGTGATATCAGGTGAATTCCATTTTTCTTCTTTTTCTTTTTTGGAATTTCTAGTATTCTACAAGAACAACCGTGACCTTGGGAAATTTGCTTAACCATGTTGAGTCTCAGTTTGCTCATATTTAGTATCAAAATAACAACAGAGCCTACCTTGGTTGTTGTGAGGGTTATGTGACAACAGTCTCAATCTGGTGCCTGGGTTGTTGTATGCATTAAATGTCAGTCACTTGGGTAAAGGGGAACTTTGTTTTGAAATGAGTCCTATTTTCTCTTTAATTGGTATATAATATATATTTACTTTAAAAGTCAATTAAATTAAAAATAATGTTTAAATTCTTTGAGAGATTACCATCTTTCTGGAAGATAATTGCAGTCCCTGGGAGTTACAGCCTAACCAAAGCTGGACCATAGCCTATTTTTATTGAGGCCAAGGCTTTAAGTAGTGATGTATTTAATGCCATATAATTAATATATAAAAGTTCAAAAGCTCCAGCTGGAGGCTAAACTGTGTTGTTTACCCTGTGATTTAGGTTGTGTCTCTGCATGTCCAGGAGACTAGTAAAGACTACATCTCATGTATCTGTTTGCCTGAAGGACTGAGGATTCTTTTTGGAAAAACCCTGGGGGAACACTGTAAAGACACTCCAGTATGAATAAAAGGCAATGAGCAGGTTTGCAGGACAGGGTTGATTTTGAGGTGTGTTTACTATACTTTGGCAAAGCAACTACAGTGTCCCACTGATCATAATTCAAGGGGGTATGGTCCAGAGACAGCTTTAGAGAAGGTTATGCAAATTTAACAAGACTTTAAGGACTCTCCCTGAAGCAACAGTGTTCATGGATCAATGAGTCTGTGGGCCTGCTGGTTCGAAATATTTTGGAGAAGAAAATATGCTTTCTTGTTAGGTAAATTTCAGAACCAGCTAATGTGACCCCTAAGATCAAGAAGATGCTGTTAGAATCTCAGAGAATGTGTTAAATCAGCAACCCCTTTCCCTGGCTAATCTACCTAAAACACAGAGTGCAGCACAAATCCTCTGCTCATGTTTTAAATTTTCTCAGTGTCTTTTTAGGATGAGCCCTGACAGATAGTTGAATGACTGCCCTTTGGACAGTGGATGCAGACAGCTGAGCAAAGGGCCTGGGAATTTTGAAATACAGATCAGATGACATTCTTATAACTTAATTATCTTGAGTTCTCTAACATTCTTTTATCTGTCAACATTACCATATTAAAATTTTATCATGCCTGAAATGTTTATTCCTGCAGTCAAAATCACTCCAAGTTGCATTTTTCCCCCTCTCAAATATATTGCTATTTCACTAGATGGTTGCTTTTATTTTATCATCCATCATGATAAAAGCCAGCATAACCTCCAGCTCAAATGTTTACTAGCAACAGATTAGCGTGTCTTACAGTGACACGACCACTCCATCGAATGCAATTCAGAGCCTCAGCAGGCTGGAAGCTGTGACTGCCAGCATACCAAAAGGGGAAATATAAATGGCTGTGATGCTTAAACAGTCAGTTGTCAGAGCCTTCCTGGTCCCAGTAAAAAAAGACTTTTGCCATAAACATCACAGGGATGTAACATCCTTGTTTCATAAGCAAATTATGCACCTCCAGGTATGCCACTCTTTTACACTGGTCAGCATCTTTCAGAGGAGAGGTCCCTGTCTTCCTCTCCCTCATGTTCCTGGAAGGGCCTAATACCTTGAACATCTGCACTGTGTCTCATTTTTATTCCTAAAGAGAGGAGATGTGTTAATAGCTATATAGAAAGAAAATTGTTTTCAGAAGGAGTTGAGAACAGAGCTGGAAAACGATAATGTCTTCCAGACCAGACCAACTTTTTGTCATTCAGGCAATCAGAACAGACATTTAGGATTAATGAGACAAGAGAGCTTTTCTCCGCCTGCCCCCTCCCCCCCAAATTTCTTATTCCCCTCTAGAGCTGATTTCTTTTAATAACATCTCTTCATACTTGAATTCCCAAGCAAGAGACCCATCTTAATATTTTTAAAAGTGAGCTTTCTCTATCAATCGGCTTATCTCACAATTTCTGACATCTGCCCTTCTCCTCCATCTATGATAATTTTAGATTGTTTGAACTCTTTTCTTCTCACAACCCTTTTGTCCTCATTTGCAACTATCCAAAATATCCTTAATACCTAATACCTACATCAATTCTCCATTGTTGAATTGGGATTCTGAATCCACTTAGTTGTATAAATACCCTTCTACCTTCTTGACTGTCTGCAGAACCCAGTCATTTGAACCTGTTTACAAATCCCTTGCCTTTGTTTCAATTTTTTCTTGTCAAGTAAAGTTCCCTTTATTTTACAAGTTTCAACTCTTTGCTGACTTTGGAGAGAAAATATGTGCCTATCATTCAGATCCAACCTGCATCATTCATGATTGTGAAGTTATTCTGATTTCACTGAATTAGTCTCACTTTACTCCTTGTTATGTTCTCTTTCTGACATTTTAAGTGATTTGGGGGAAGTTTTTTCCTGGCTATTTTAAAGTTTTAAGTTCTTGCCTTCTACGTGGGGCCAAACCCTCATTCTTAAGAGCCTCCTGTAATATTTTGTGGTCACAGTAACTCACAAGGGTAGCTGGTTCTCCCATTGATCTTTGCTATCGCTAAGACCTATCCATCTTCATTTATCAGATACATATAGCTAGTCTGTCTCCCGCCCCCTGAGAAAAAAGAATCAGTGGGATCCCAAGGAATAACCTAACAACATGATCATGCCACAGAATCTCCAGATACACAGTGTCTTCATCTTTCTATTTCTCTTTTGAAGTGGTTTTTGCTTTTTTCTCTCTCATCCTTTAATTTTTTAAGGCTTTTCTAAAATCTGTCTTTTTAGCTATCTTTTTATTTTCCCTTTCCTCGATAATGTTATATATGTCTTTGGGGGCTATTTTTAGGATGTCTACACATATTTGGTGTCAGATGAAGAAATGTTTGACTGGAAATGTCAGTTGAAAGAATTAGCCAGGATTCTTCCGTAGAGAGACAGTATTAGACTAGAACTTAGATGGGTTTTTGTTCTACACAAAACTGATCTGCTCAACTCAAAGTTGCAGTGTATTAAGAAGTAACTTCGGGAAGGGCACAGTGGTTCACACCTGTAATCCCAGCACTTTGGGAGGCTGAGGCAGGTGGATCAGCCTGGTCAACAGGCTGGTCAACAGGTGGATCAGGCTGAGGTCAGGAGTTCGAGACCAGCCTGGCCAACATGGTGAAACCCCGCCTCAACTAAAAATACAAAAATTATCTGGGCATGGTGGCAAGTGCCTGTAATCCCAGCTACTTAGGAGGCTGAGGCAGGAGAATTGCTTGAACCCGGGAGGCGGAAGTTGTAGTGAGCCAAGATCCTGCCATTGGACTCCAACCTGGGCAACAAGAGCAAAACTCCTCAAAAAAAGAAAAAAAGAGAAGGAAAATACAGGTTTTTTTTCCCTTTGATGCCTATGTTTATAATATTACAAACATAAATTACTATCTGGTACAGCAATACTATTCAGTATAGATTTTATTTTTTTAGGCACAGCAATAAAATAAGGCCCTGAGCTTATGTGCCTTTTGCTTTTTATCTTCCTTAACAGGATTTCTCAAACTTTCTCAAATCTGCTTATCCCTCCTTCCTTTCCCTTTTCTCACATAGCTTGCTACTTCTAATCTCCTGTAGGTGGAGAAATATTCAGGTAAATATTACATGTTAAATCATATTTACTAAGGTTCTCAGTGAGTGATCAGGAATGTAAATATAAGCTTTCATGCTAGAGTAACCCCTTTCCTGTTTATCCTGAAGTCTCAGTGATGATCTTGAGATCTCCAAGACAGCAGAAAATAGGGCATTTCTCTCACCTAAACCTGCCAAGAGAGCATTTGTATTAACCTGTAATGGTTAAAGAAGGTCTCCTATCTGTGCATTCTGAATAAATCCCCAAAATATTAGTGATGTGGACAGGAGGCATGGAAGTACTGGGTAGAAGAGGGCCGTCTCCAGTGAGGGCCACACTCTCAAGCCTGGGAATGTGGCCCAAAGTGAGAACATACATTATTATTTTCCTGTTCAAATGTTGCTTTTTGGCACCCCTCCACTCCCACCCCCTCATACCCATAAACACCCCAGGCTCCACTGGCAGAGGGGTGGCAGAGAAGCAGAGCAGCTGAGTGGCAGAGCAGAGCAGCAGAGAGGGAGAGAAGAGAAGCAGCTCGACGTCAGAGAGAAGCAGCTTGACTTCAGAGGGACGGCTTGATGGTGGGACTTCGGAGAATAGTTTGGCTAGCGATGGCCAAACTCCAGGGGAAGACCACCTCCCCACTTCATCCCCTTTCTAGCTCCCCATCCCACTGAGAGCCACTTCTACGGCTCAATAAAATCCTCCACATTCATCACCCCTCCATTCATTCATGCAACCTGATTCTTCCTAGATGCTGGACAAGAACTTGGGTACCAAGAGGGCAGCTGCAACAGATTGTCACCCTGACCCTCCACTGAGCTGTTAAACACTTAAGCCATCCATGGACAGCAAAGCTAAAAGAGTACACTGTAACACATGCCCTCTGGGGCTTCAGGGGTCATGGATACCCCCCTAGATGCTGCCGTGGGGCCACACAGAGTTCTACTCCTGCCAGTGCCCAGAAGCACTCATCCTGGCTCCTGCACCCCCCCACCTGTGTGCTCCCCCTCCCATGAGGGGTTGAGAGCTATGGCCTGAGTAAATGAGGCAACCCCTTTGCAAGTCCCACAAAGGGGTGAAGGGAACTATCTCATTTTATTAGTATTCTAACTTGTAGGCCTGGGAGAAAACTGAAATCCCACTCTTATAAACATATTTTTAATTTATAATTTTGGACTGCCTCCTATGTTCTATTATTTTCCTCAGCCTGGTCAACTGCTCCATTTAGAAAGGAATGAACAAAGTACACTCATTGGTGAGCCATTGGGTGAGGTGTGTTCAGAGCTCCTGCACCCTTGATCTAGGTGATGAAAGAAGCACTTTGTCAGAGAGACTGGCTTCCTAAGCCTTCCCTTTGCTGAGCAGGTAAATGGAAATATTAGAGAATGGCTGACAGAACAGAAACACTACTGGGAAGATCTTTCTTGGTGAGTAATGAAGCATGATTCTTTCTAAATGTCAAGGTTCCCCAAGCAGGTTGAACCAGAGCAAATGCTTTCAATGATCCTTTTCACATCCTGGCTTCTCTCCTTATAAAGAAAAAGTTATATATGTATGTGTGTGTGTATATATATATATATATATATATATATGTGTGTGTGTGTGTGTGTGTATGTGTGTATATATATACGTATATATGTGTGTATATATATATACGTATACACACACACACACACACACACACACACACAGTGATTGCTAAGCAAAGTCAAAAGGAGGAAGATGTGAGGCACAGAGGACTCAGATGTATGAAGTATTAGTGGCAGAATTTCCAAAAGCTCAAAATAGCAACAGCACAGCCAGAGCCCTCCTGGCTCTGTAAATTCCAACTATCACAGAGAACTGATTTTAGGAAACACATTTCTTTTCCCTCGCATCTCTCTGACTCAGGGGTACAAATATTCTCCTCCTCTGTTTACTCAGATATTAAAATGTTAATTTAAAAGTGGAGTGTCACACTGGTTTTGATATTAGTTTTTCTAAAGGAGAATCATGGTTTTTAATATCATTCCTTCCTTACATTGTAACTTTTTTGTTATTAATTGATATCGAGTGCTATAAGGTTCAAGGATTATCTAAAATTCCTCATTTTATTAATTTCATGTAGTATTTTTATCTGCTTGGTATTTAATTTTTAGATCTTATATATCTGCTCTGGCATTTTTTGCCATTAATGTAGAAGTAACTTGGCTCTGTTTTGTTTTAATGTGATCAGTTGCTATCTTTGATGCCTGAACAATCACCAACTGGACTAAAAAATTGCATTTAGACACTGCTCCACACAGGCAACTGAAGGCAAAGCCCAAGCCTTACAAGCTCATCAATATGACTGATAGTGAAAAGAGCAAGTTAATGTGATACTTTCAACATGCGTCACTTATAAACAATAACTATTGCTTGATTAATTAAAAACATATAAACTAAAATTCTTTGCCATCCTATTTGGTGAACTATGTTTTGTATTTCCACAGATTTTGTCTTAGAATGAGTGATCTTATCTGTATTAAACATTTTTAAATACATGCTATGCATATCAAGTAATGATCTTTGAAGGTTTCAGACTATTTGGGCCCCTAGTAGTGGCATAAAATTATAACGGATAATTTCAGAGCCATCATTTTAGGGGGAAAAAAGGCCTTAGGCTTTTTAAGACATTATGAATCTATGTTTTTGACACAGAAGCTAAAATAATTGTATGCTTTACAGACTTCCCCACTAGGTTGGGCTCATTGAGAGTAATATTGGTATCAGGAGTAGGAGCAGAGACATAGTCAAAATAAACACAAAATAAGTGGGGATCAGGAGGTGAACAAATAATTTTCTATCATTAGCTGGGGAAGTTCTTAGGGGACTTGTCAAGCCTAACCTACAGCTAGTCTTTAGGAAACTATGACCACCTTGGAAAATAGGAAAATTACTAAGTTGTTGTTTCAAAACATATTAGTCACTAACAACTTTGTGTTTATAGTTGAGATTTCACAAATGAAATTACTTCCCTCAGCCATATGACATTGTTTACTCTCTATTGGCTTCTGGCTTTATCCTTGCTTCTCGTTATTCAACTTTGATCCTCTATCTTTGCCAAATTCCCAGTAGTCTGACTTTTTCCAGTATTATCTCAACCCTGTCCCAGCTCTCCAGCATCTGTGTTATTAGTTCACCCGTTCCTGGCTTCCTCACCATCTGACTTCTTGGCCTAGACTCCTGAACTCTGAACCTTGTATTCTTCCAAATGGCCTCCTTCCCCAAGAGGGAAGACACTCTTATTTCCTAGGGAGAAAATAAGTGTTTGGCTCTGGTCTTTGTTTTCCAGTTTCTTCTCTTCTGAGGGTCACCAGCTGAAATACTTAGTGACTCACTCCTACCTGCATTTCTGTGCTGCCATGTTTTGGTCACACTGTCCACTGCGGTATGCATTAACTCTTTAGATCCTACATATTTCACACCAGTGTCATAAGAATTCTACACCCCTCTCTTCCATGAACAGGCTGTACTACACTCATGCATGATCTCAGTCAGCCAACGAATTAATGTTGGAGAGCCAGTTAAGCACTTACAGCTGTGTGGTAGGCATTTGGGGGCTCACAAGACAAATATTAATCTATCGATGTTGCTGGATTCAAGGGTACTTACTTTATTCTTGTTGAAACAAAAGTTAAATTTGTGTGAATGGACTGGCCTTTTTGTAAATAAACACATCCTGCACCACTCCAGCACATGAATAGAGAAAAGCTTCTAGAAGAAGTTCTCACAAAGGGACTACAATTTTGTCAGACTCTGACATTTTCTTAAAGTTGTCTTCTTGTCTATTACTTCTACCACTTTATCCTATGTCATGTTTCATTTTCTCCAGGCCAAAAATACAACAAAAATTCACTTCAGAACAGTACACATAGATTTTTAATCTCAAAATGTGTTATTAAATAGTAGGTAAAATAAAATGTTAATGAACAACAACCACCACTCCTAGCATCTCACTGCCTAGTTTGTCAATGGCGGAATGGGAGAAAGGGCAGAGAGGTTTTAAGAATATGTACATGTCAAGGAGGTTGTAAGTAATGAATGAAATTGGCCCAAGGCCAATTCTTTTTTTTTTCTTTAATAGGCCCTAGTGAGAAAAGTAGAAATTTTCAATTCAAAGGATGCTAGGAAAAGGAAAAAAAAAAAAAAAAAAAGACATAATCCAAGCTAAAATTCACATTGTAGAGCTACCTTTACCAAATAATCTTCTTAGGCTGGAACGTGTGTGCAGCCACCTTTACTAGTCTCTTCTCTCACTTCCTACCTGCCTTTTGGCCATGTGTTAGTCCTTGTTGATTTCTAGCTTTCTGGAATCTATCAATGTGAACAACATTCTCCTTCAAAGAACAGACAACTGGTAAAATCAAGCCTTTTCCTATGTTAAGTCTTCCTAGCATATCTCAGGTACATAGGGAACTTCACTTCAAATTGCCCTTCACAAGGTCTTGCCCAACTTTACAACTGATTTATATATAACAAGTATTAAATAGTGTAATACTTTATCACTTCCTGGATTAGGTTTTCAGTCCTAACTCTCCAAAAAACTTACCAAAAAGTTTTTTTTTTGGATGGGTCTAAAATTCACCACAAAAATATGCAATATACAGTGTTAATGTCTATTTATTGAAGTCTGCATATGCAGATAATGATGCTGGAATATTGTGAAAGGTAGTCTAGCCTTCATTGACATCCCTTTTATTAGCTATTCACAAAATCAGTAGCTACTAAAGCATTTTCTTTTATAGGCTGCTTGATCATTATCCCCATCCTAGTCAGAAAATATCTTGGCCATAATGGTCTTCTACCTTCAAGGACTCAATCTCTAGCAACTGTTTCTAGGCTAACACTGAGAGTTTCAGAATAAAAGTAGGGGAGAAAACTGTCCCTTTCTCAGTTCATGGCAGGGACTAGACATCAGTTCTGCCTGCTTGCTCCTTACTCCTACAATTCACATACCCCTTGGTGGTTTACTCTTTCTTGGTCCTTTGACCACATGGGCCTAGCTGCTAAATCAACTTGTAAGGATCTCCTGGGTGCTTTTTGTTTGCATGGACTTTGAGCTTCTTGCTGCTGCCTGCTGTTGGATGTTTACCTACTTGAATTTGGACTCACCTGCTACCCACCTTTCTTGTCCACGTGGAGACTGCTTCCTGCTCTGAAAGCCCTACTCCTTGATCTACTGTTACTCATGAGTGAAGAGAGTAAGTTGCTTTTCAGGAGACTAAATGTCAGGATTGTTTGCCTGCAATTACTGTATCCTCTCCAAGAGAATCCTCATAAAATCCAGTCTCTTCCTAGTGTAGCTGCCTTGCTTCAGTTTTCTCTATGGTGCTTCAACAGGTTCATCATGTCAATTTCAGTCTTTATATGCCTATTTCAAAAATCTTGAAATGAGGTTTACTTATTTTGGTATGAAAAGACTGATTGCCATTCAATAACTCATTACTGATTGGGTCATTATTGGTAATAAGGAGTAGAGCTTAAGGGTTTTCTGAACAAACAAAACAAAACAAAAAACTAGAAATAAAGTACAGTGTAGTTGATATCCATGACAGCCATTCCCCAATTGGGAGAAGCTTGATGGCTATTTCTAAATTAATTTGGAGAAGTTGGAAGAGAACATGGACTAGAGGAAAAAACACTGCAGTGGGTGTTAGACAGATATAGATCCCCATCCCAGAACTGCTGCTCACTCCCTAAGAAACTTTGGGCATGTCGTTTAATATAATATCTCTGAATTTCAGTTTCTTCCAAATTCCATACTATTAAGAATCAAGTGAGACAGTGTATATAAAGGGTGTAGCACAATACTTAGATCAAAGTAGGTCCTTAATAAATGCTAGTAACCCATGTTCTCTCCAATGAGATGCACCGTTCTTTACACCACCATTGTTTTACACACAGATTTTATTACATTAGCCTTTTAAACACTTCAGTATCTTGGAATGAAGTAAACTTCTTAGCAGGGCCACAATATCTGATTTTACCCATTAAGGTTCCTAAAACATGATGGTTTACATGTTCATGAGAGTATTTCCTACTACCCGCCATGTACCTTTAGTTTTTCGGAAGAACACTTTTTGTCGTGTTGTCTCTATTGCCTATTTACAAGTTTAGAGTTGAAAGATTTTCCATGTAGATGGTAGCATAAGGTCACATAATAACTGAGCGAAATCTTGAGCAGCTGGTCCATTTTTCTGCTGGATGGATAAAAGTTGGGGGCTGTAAAAAGAAGGCCTTCACTAGATCTCAAAGGGAGGGCCTAAGAAGAATTCTCTGAACACACAGTCTACATTGTTTACTGGGATAGAGACTGCACTATCAATGGCCTCAGTTCCCATGCAGTTCCTGTGTGGGAGTGGTAGACATGCTCCCTTAGTGCAGTTCTGGCCATCTCTAGATAATGACCCTGCCCAAGTCTATGTTTCGCTCTAGGTCTCACCCCTTTGTTTCTCATTCTCTCTTGTACCACATCCCCTTTATCTGCTGTATTTCTCCACATTGGAGAATTCTTTCCAGATCAGAATTAAAAGCTATCTCTAAATCACAGTGATGGTTCCCCAGTCTATTGTCTACGCTTACTAGTCTTTCTTTCTTTCTTTCTTTCTTTCTTTCTTTCTTTTTCTTTCTTTTTTTTTTTTTTTTTTTTTTTGAGATGGAGTTTTGCTCTTGTTGCCTAGGCTGGAGTGTAGTGGCATGATCTCATCTCACTGCAACCTCCACCTTCTGGTTTCAAGTGATTCTCCTGCCTCAGCCTCCTGAGTAGCTGGGATTACAGGTGTCTGCCACCACACCCGGCTAATTTTTGTATTTTTAGTAGAGATGGGGTTTCACCATGTTGACTAGGCTGGTCTCAAACTCCTGACCTCGTGATCTGTCCGCCATGGCCTCCCAAAGTGCTGGGATTATAGGTGTAAGCCACCACGCCCAGCCCTATGTTTACTAGACTTTCTATTACCATTGATGGTACGGTCTCCATCCCAGTAAACAATATATCCTGTCATTCAGAGTCACAGGCTTTTGAACCTATTTTTTGGTGGTAGTTGTTTCGTTGTTTCCCCTGGACCATCCTCGACCTGACGCAAATGAACTCAAAGATTAAAGACACAGGAAGAATGGAACACGAGAAAAAAAGAATACCTTGGTTAATATTTTGAGGACAGTATCCCATCATGTAAGTATAATTCTATCACACAGAAATGTTCTAGGACCTATCCACCACGTGAACAATATCTATATGTGAAAATATTGTTAGGAAAGTAGGACCAGCTGCTGCAGGGAACCACCAGGGGAGACGGCTTCCCATCATCCTATTCACATAACCACTAAGCAATGGAACCAAGGACTCCTACAGCTATGAGCTGGGCAGCCGAGAATCTGGAGCTACCTAGAGCACTGCAAATCTTCAGAGATCCTGCTCCATTCTGGGCTTGCTTCCTATCTTGTTTTCCTATTGTCTCTTGAGCTTTTCTTTGTTTTTAGAACCACTAGTAGCCCTTTCCTTTTAGCAAGGATTGATCTTCTTCCATGTTGACTGTGACTAAACAAAGTCTCTGCAGCTTTGGCCTGTATCTCCTGTCTCTGAAACTAACCCATAGCTTCTTTTTAAGAAAAAAAAAATGGGGACAGACAAGGGAAAATCACTTTTCAGGTCTAATTCTGAAACTTGCCACTATTCGGTCTCAGGGAAGAATCTGTGTTTTAGTCTTAAATCATTGGAACTCACTTCTGAAATTAGACACTTGAGTTGAGAATTACATTCCTTTCCATTGCTCACACAAGGATTTAGGCATATAACAGACTGCACTGAGATGTGCCCTCATTTAGGAGAGAATATACAGTCAGTTTATATCAGGAAAGCCATCCTAGGCATTCTGTCCCAGAAGCCAGAGCAGGCATTCTGATGTGGAGACAGGGAGCCTCTGAGGGAGGCACAAAAAGGAGGAGAGGAGATAGGACAAGGCCTGTGTAAGAGGGAACTGCCATCCCTTTTCCTCTGTCCTCAGCAACCCTTGCCTAGCTCTACAAATCCAACCGTGGGTTATTTCTGGACTATTGTTAAAACGGGGATGAGTGGTGGGGAGAAGATAAAATGGGAGAGTAGAGGAATTCCAGGGATGGGATGGGAAATTCAATCACCATTTGGTTAGTTAAGTTGTGCATGAGTCATTTGTATATATATTAGGAACTACCTGGAAGATTGGACAGCATTTCGTTTTCTTGAATTAGGTAGAACTGATACCTGAGTGAACTTGCCAGCTTCCCAAAGAACATCTTCCTAATTTTTGTCTTTGAAATCTCTGTCTTTCTCAGCATTTTCCACAAGTGTTCATACTGACTGTGTTGACCACTTGGTGTTTATGTGATCAATGCTAGATTTGGTTCTATAATGTCTTTTCTGGAGCCTCATGAAGGTCAAGGTCTCAGAGAGCATTTAGAGAATGAAAGAAATGGTCATTTTCTATAAGTTAAGGTAGCAAGACTTTAAGGAAAATCTCCTAGGATTGAATGGTTGGAATCAAGTATGTTCCATGCTTCAGGCACTGTGCTTCTCAGTTCACATGCAATAATTCATTCTATGTTCAGAATAATCCCATGAGGTAACATCATGACACCAATGACTCCCAGCTACAGAAGACACTTATGAAATGAATGGGGAGACAATGGGAGACATCTGAAAAGAAAATCTCTCGTGGGAAGAATGCCAATTAAACAGAACAATGAGACTGAATTCATTATTAGAATACCTACAGAATACATGTAGAATAGGGCATATATACAAATATGCATATATATACGTATGTGTATATATATGTGTATATATATACGTATGTGTATATATGTGTATATATATGTATGTGTATATATATGTGTATATATATGTATGTGTATATATATATGTATGTGTGTGTGTGTGTATATATATATATATATATATATATATGGAGAGAGAGAGAGAGAGAGAGAGAGAGAGAGAGAGAGAGAGAGGTCAGGGGGGTTCAGCCAGCAAGTGAAAAATATAATTTGAAGAAACTGGTGCCAAACAACCAAAAAATAAGAACAAAAGACAAATCATCAGTGCACAGCTATAGATCTTATGGAATAGGTGGGTCTGATTCCTGTTGGGAGTTTCTAGGAAGTTGATTAGCATTGATGACATTTTTGCAGGGTTTTATACCTGCCTCTTGGTCCCACCCTTTGCAACTCCATTAAGTGGAGCAGATTCTGGTATGTGTAGTTTTCTAGGACTCATGAAATCATAATGTTAATAGTAATATCCAAATTGTATTGTATATTGAACTATGAGATTTGAGCACTTCTGTTTTTAAACAATCCTCATTTTCTCCAAAGGATCTAAAATGCCTGGCAGTTTTATGAATATATTATAAAGTAATTGAACCTCTGTGCTTATAATATGCAAACATCAATGTACACGTTATTCATGCCATAGCCCTTGTGTGCTGTGATATGAAGCGTGTGGTCAGGCAGGAAGGCAGTTGAAATCCTCTTAGAACATAAAAATATTGAAGGTTGCTAATGGAAGACTGATGAAAAGGGAAATTCACTGATTTTAATAATGTAATTTGCTGAGTATCACTATAGCAATTTTTAAAAGAAAGAAAAAGGTTTAAATCTCTAAATCTGTGCTAAAAGAGCCAAGGTTAGGATAAGGTTGTAGCATAGCTTGTTTATTAGCATTGTTAAAAATAATGATCAAGTTAATTAAAATTGAATTATAGTGGAACCATCTAAACAGACTCATGACAGCCATTATAATGAGTTCTATTAAAGGCAGCAATAATGATTAAACTATTTTGAAACAAACTCAATAATTTTTATAAGAAATCAATAGTGCACATTTATCTCATGTCCCCATTAGTAAAACTAGTAGCAGAATATTTAGACTGTGGACTCTAAAAATTGCTGTGACCCTGACTGCTCTGCAGAGGATTCTGTAATGTATTAGTGTTGTGTATGCTATCAGAGAAGAGTTGTTGCAGCCAACTATAACCCACATCTGTCCTCCCTCCCTGCAGTACTCTTCCACTTTCAAAGCACAATGGCAACACTGCAGGAGAGGTGAGGCCCTAAAGCAGAGGTTTCACAGTCTTTTCCCACCTCTTGGGAACTCTTTTAATGTCAAAATATTTAAAAGTCCTTTCACATGTAAGTAGTTGTATTTTTAGTATCCTATTGATGAATAAAAGATACATGACACAAAAACTGTGAATTCAGTATTAATTTACAATTTATTACTTACAACTTCTACATACATACAAAGGGCAATTTTAGTGAGTTTTTGTTCAGACCTACAATGTTTTGGTTCTCAGACAAACACAAAACTTCTGTGTTGTTCTTCCCTTTCCCTGTCACCCCAGGATAGTGGCATTGGTATAGGGAATTTGGAGGGGAAAAGCATAGGTCGCTTTTCACAAGGGATGTCTCCTTGGGAATGTCTACTTGGGCAAGTAGTTGAGAGACAAGAGAGTGGATTATTATGGTGTAGATGTCAACACATCTGACATCTACCTGCTGTTTTCCATGAGAATGTTTTCTTATAACCTAATGCAAACTTTTATTTTATATTTGTATTTGCAATTGAAGTGCAATAAAATTAAACAAAGAATCAAGCTTGATTTTAATTTTTTCCCCTGAATTCTGAGTATTGAGGTTTTATGTAGAGTAATTAAAAGGCATTTCATATAGTAAATAAATCTTTATTGAGCTCAGAAATGACCAATGATATTAGTAAACATCATTCAATGTGGATCACATATTGATCTTTTAATTGTAGCCTTTTAAATAAATAATTCATTTTTTATGTTAAAGTCTCATGACTGCTCAAAACCTACACAAAGTTCTGATAAACACCCATAAGTTGACTTGCTAAAGCTCATTAGCAGTATAAGAAGAAGTTATTACATAAATCTGTCATAGCTTCCTAGGTTGTTACAAAGCTATGTGTTTATAGACTATTAGTTTACATTTGAGAACAGTGTGCTCACCTTGGAAAAGGCAATTTTCAGTGGGGAATCCCTGTAGTTATTAAATAAAAAATGCAACCATAGGCCACTAATCTACCTCGATGAACTGCAAATGCAAACTTTTACTATTAATGGGTTTATCTGTGTAGATTATACATAATGATAGTTCCTAGGAAATGTAACCAGTTCTTATAAAATCAACATGAGTGTAACACAGTTTAATTAACAATATACTCATATTAACAATATTTAATTTTTGGCCTCTTGGACTTTATGTTTAGAGATTATTTTAAATAACCTGTGAATATGATAACCTTTTAAAAGAAACTGAACATAGACAAGGTTAAATTCAGATAAGCATGTTAGTTCTACAGTTGGCATTTTTCACTATAAAGAACAATTTTACTATCATTGTATTTTTCTTTACATGTAAAAATTAACATAAATCCTTATTCTCAAAAATTTTAAATTAATAGATTCTTCATGTGCAAAATTTATTATTTAAGTAACCATTTGATTCTAAATATTTTTTAAAAATCCAATGGGGCACTCTTTATGAGGGGTTAATAAATCAATTTATACATTATAAGGCACTTAATCTTAAATATTTGATTTATACAATTAATTTTATTAAGACCCAATGAAATTGAAGTGTTTACAACAATCACCCCCAAAAGCAAAGGAGAAGTAGAAAAAATAAACAACTTCTGAATCACTTTTAAGCCTACAAATTATATTTCTATATATCTTGTCACCTTTTGGCTGAAATAAGTGTGGCAATATAAGCAATTAAAGCTCAATGTTAAAATAAAAGATTTTTGTTGTTGTGTTAGGCTTTCTTAGTGGAATGCTCAATCCAGAAATTATTTTAATGTTTGTAAACTGATTTTCGGAAGATTTGATACTATCATTAGATTTCCGTCTTTACTTATAAAAGAGTGTTTTTTTCTTAATTGCACAGTTCAAAACCAGAGATTCTGTGCAATGGATGCCAAGAAAAACCTACATGGGAAATTTTCATATTAACTATGCCATTGTCTTCTGGTTTTTATAGCAATGTGTTGATAATTGAAACAACAAATGAGCAAAAATGTAAAATATGTCAAAATATCTTCACATACTGTTTAAAGTCTTAGCTGGAGTCTGTCTAAAATAATGATATAACATTACCGTATAAGAAGTAAGTCTTTTGTTTGCTGTGAAAATGATGCTAGTAACTTTCAGAGGCTAGATGTTAGCTAAGAATAAATGTTCATATTGCAACATCGTTTCTGCATTACCTTAGAGGAAAATGGAAAATTCACTTTAAATCTTTTTTGTTCACCCATTCTTAATGATTGAATGTAAATTTCTTGAAAACACAGACAAATCTGAATTGACTTTGCATCTAGCGCTGGGCCTCACATTTAGGAGGTATTACACACTTTTGTGCCTGTGTAAGTGAGGCATCTCTGTATATGACAACCAGCTACTTTCCTGAATTTGCTAATTTCTCCCAATATGCTTCTGCTTTATGAAATTACCATTATTGGGCTTAACTACTTCCCCTATGTGCTTCTAATTCTTTGTGATAGTACTTGAGTATTGACAGAAGTTTAAAAAACCTTAAACAGGAATATGGGAGAACTTTACCTTAATAATGAATGTGTATGAACTGGTTAAAGTCTAGGCTTTAGACTTTAAGCTCCAAGTCTCCAACTAGCAGGAATGATGGAAATCCCCATCCAATTAAGCTTTCTCTCACAGAGTACTGAGTAGCTTATGTCTTCTCCCTGGAAGTCATCACAGATCTCAGTGCTGCTATCTGCTCCCTTACCTCATAGCCCTCACCTGCAGCAGGATTGAACCTGAAGGAACAGCTGGGATTGATCTTGCTGCTGATTGCTTCTACAGATGCTGGGCACTGCCATGCCCCAACCCAGTTCAGAGAAGCTTTCTCTATAACACTATTAAAATTATTAGGTTACCCAAAAGGTGGTCTCATTCTCTGTCCTTTGATTTTTCAATCCCTTTTCTTTCTTTTCTTTTTTTTTAAGAAACAGGGTCTCACTCTGTCACCCAGGCTGGAGTGCAGTGGTACAATCATAGCTCACTGCAGCCTCAAACTCTTGCATTCCAGTGATCCTCCCACCTCAGCCTCCCAAGTAGTGGGGACTACAGCAACACTACACCGAGCCACAGTTCCCTTTCTTGAATTTGGAATTATTTTCCCCCAGTTTGAGTCAGAGAACATTTGAATGGAATCATCTAATGTCCTATCCAAAAGGACTATTTTTCTTTAAAATGCATCAGTGTCTTAGGCTGAAGTTCAAGAGCCTCCATTTCCAACTCTTGGGACTACTATTCCTCATGATCACCATTTAGAAGCCTCTTTTACTCACCTGTCTATTCTTGAGTAAAGTACACAAGGTTGAAGAAAGTCTTCCATTGAAGACATCAAGACAAACTGCTCAGCATTTAGAAATGCTACCATTTGCCCTCCCCAGCCTGAGCCCCAGTTGAGTCTCATCTTACAATCCGGCCTAAGCTCGCCATTCTTGCAAAGTAAGCCTTCACAAAGCTTGCTTGCTCTCATTTTCAAACACAAACTCGGGAAAAGAAAAGAAAAGAAAAGGAGAGGACAATAATTTTGTAGTCCTATTTTATCTGCATAATAGCCCACATCTTGAACTTTCCTTTAACATTTATCTTCTTGGAATATCCTCCTAGTTTATTTTGAAAATCTTTCAAAAATTCCATTATTTTTATTGATTTTCCAGGAAGTTTATGTTTGGTCATTTTTCAAATATTAAGGAACTAGTTATCCCCAACACTACTTCTTACATAATCAGCCTCAGCCTATCTTTACTATGTCTTAAAAAACCAAGCTTATAATTTCAAAATTTTTATTTTAGTTTCCCTTCAAGATCTTAGTTTTAAGATTTTGAATACAACACTCAGTATTGAGGGACTAATTTTCAAGTTCATGAATTATCCGAACCACTTACTATTCCACTTGCTGATACTCCCCTTGGCTTTTTGGCCAATTCACTGTCCATTAGCACCTCTCACAGATGGTGAGCACGAAGAAAAAAACAGTTAATTTTGCTACTGGTTGGAATAAGAAGAAGAACAGTTAATTTTGCTATTGGTTAGTAACTTGAATAAAGGATCTGATAGTGTAGGACATTAAAATTAATACTTTAAGTGGGATTTAAAATTGGTCTGTAGGAGAACAACAATCTTCCTCCTCACAAAATAATGTAATAATAATTATTTTCAAACACTTGGCCAATATAAGTGATATATGAAAGGGAAATTGTGCTGTCTCTATTTGCATAGGGAGATGCTGTTGCTGATACATCAGTGAAAAGAATCCAGACTTTGTACTTGAATAGCCTAAATTCAAATCTTTTCTCCATCATTTATTAGCTTATATGATTGTGAATAAGATATATACAATGTTTCTCTTTGTTCTCTCTTCTGCAAAGTGAAAATAAGGATAAATTTCTCATAGCTGCTGCAATAAAGACCACATATGGGAAAGGCACATTAATAACCATAAGGAATATTCTTCTTATTTTATTATTATCATTATTAATATGTTTGGATGAGTTATATTGATTCATTTACACTCTCTTATCTAGTTTTTACGGAAGATAATTGAGTAAGTTGATGGTCCTGTCTGCACTCTATAACAATAAAACATTTTAATCTTCTTGACAATCTAGTTGGTTTTAGATGACTTAAAACAATGACCTCAGCTCCAATTTTCTAGTCAGCAATCCAAATATTGATCAAATCTAACGTTTGATCAACAATGGGATCAGTTATGCCTGGGATCTGAGTTCTTTAACAGTTTTAACAGCTTAGATTTGTATCTTGACTGTGTATTCTTTTATCAGTGGGGTAAGAATGTACAATGAGGTAAATGTTCTTCTCTTTAATTTTAAATTATCTGAGATGAGATAAAGCAGGCAATGGAGAGAGGGAAAGAATGGAACTGATGCCAAAAAAATCCATTATTTAAAGAGCTTGGGATATGATGAAAATAGGACGAAATGAGGATTTCCCAGACAGATGATAAGGTTTGGAATATACATGACAATGCAATTAGAAACATGAATTATGAATGTGAAGAACCTATTGGTAACTTGCTTTCTATTATCCTGAGTATAAGGGAATAGGAAGCTATTTTAAAAGTCACACATGTAACTTAGGAATACTATATAATGATTCTTGGGAGAAGAATGGTGTTATTTCAATGGCAGTATTTAATTTTCTAAAAAACTGAAAAGAAAAGATTCCAAAATGTGAACATGCTTGAAATCTACAAAATGGCATGTGTAGTCAGAGTAAGCCCACTTTGTTGCTGCTCAGGTGCAATTAGATTTCTAAATATTTTAAATGTCATTCAGTATTACACTAAGAGTTGAGTCCATAAGTGAACAATTGCATGTCTGGAGAAATATTTCACTTTATGAGTATGCATGTGTGATATGAATGTTCATGGTGTGTGTGTGTGCGTGCACACACATATGCCTGTACTTATAAGGGAGTAGAGAAAGGATAGAGAATGTGGTGAGCTAAAATGTGAATGACTGCATATTAAAGGTTGTCTTAGAGAAATTGTGAGTCAGCAAAGCACAAGGAAATTCTAGACTAGTAAGGGATTTAGAAATGACCACAGCAGGTATAAAGCAGAAAGTTTCTCTGGGAGCTGATTGGAGAAAAATCTGCATATCATGAAAGCGAGAGATTCTTTTTTTTTTTTTTTTTTTGAGATGGAGTCTCGCTCTGTCACCTAGACTGGAGTGCAGAGGTGCGATCTCTCCGCCTCCCAGGTTCACGCCATTCTGTTGCCTCAGCCTCCCAAGTAGCTGGGACTACAGGCGCCCGCCACCACGCCCGGCTAATTTTTTGTATTTTTAGTAGACAGGGGGTTTCACCGTGTTTGCCAGGACGGTCTCAATCTCCTGACCTCGTGATCCGCCCGTCTCGGCCTCCCAAAGTGCTGGGATTACAGGCATGAGCCACCGCGCCCGGCCGAGATTAATTCTTTAACAGAATCCAGCAAATTCCTGAAGTTAGGTTTAAACAGCATAAAAAGAAGCATTCTGAGACCGGGAGCAGTGACTTATGCCTGTAAGCCCAGCACTTTGGCAGACCGAGACAGGAGGACGCTTGAGCCCAGAAGTTTGAGACCTGGGTAACTTGTGGAGACTCCATCTCTACAAAATAAATTAAAAATTATGTACGCTTTGTGGTGCGTGCCTGTGGTCCCACCTACTCAGGAAGCTGAGGTGGGAGGATCCCTTGAGCCTGGGAGGTTGAGGCTGCATTGAATTGAGATGGGGCCATTGCACTCCAGCCCGTGGACAGAGTGAGACACTGTCTCAAAAAGGAACATCTTGATTGGAAACTAAGGTTTGAATTTGGGCCCAGGCCAAAAGGATCTTGCTTTGGTTAGTAACATGATCCAAATCATTATACAAAATAGGCACATACACAGAGGTAAAAAAAACAATTGGACTTATTCAACATATTCAAAATGTTATTACTTATCTCTAAGTGGGGAGATCATGGGCAGTTTTAAATCTCTTCTTTTAAGCTTCTCTGTAGCTTCCAAGTTTCATGAGTTGAACTAATTAATTTTGTAATTAGACAAAAACCAATAGACAGTACTTAGAAAGTAAATTTAATCATTGATATTTTTGGAACCATCTACTTTGGGGGTCTGGTAGATGAAAGAGTGTGACCCAAAAATATGTCAATTCAAAGAAAGTGTGGTGACGGTTGATACCACACTCCTCTCAGGATCTGAATGGGCACATAATGTGTTTCATTTATAAAGCTGTTGACTGTTAGAAGGCATGTGTTGGAATTATAGAGGCCATGGATGACCCATGGCCACAGCTTATTTTTCTATCATGCTCTTTCTCTCCTTTATTATCTTATTTACAGGTATTTAGCTGGATTGATCCTTCCCCACCATTTTAACAATAATAATACATCTTTCCCTGAATCATGTGATCCAAAGTGTTGGAGAGGGTGGGCACAAAGCTCCCTTAATCTCTTTCCACCTTACTTAGTAATTCAGACAAAGCTGGACTTTGTAGAAAAGAAACTTCTACCAGGAAATAAAAAGAAAAAACAAGAACAGATGTTTAGAAACAGACATGCTTTAAAAGGCATAGCCTTCTATCTGAATCCTGAAATCAGATGTTGGCAAATCCCAGTACCCACACAAATTCTGCATTGTTGGTGAGAGCTTGTTGAAAATGTTAGGATTTTGGCAATTCTTGACTATTCAGTTTTGTTACTGTGTTTTTTGCCCTCTTAGGAATTTATGTTTTCTTAAAAGAAAATGTAATTAAAAAGCTTCAGTATCTGATATTAATGGACAATTGGGTAATATGACAATGAATCACTCTATGCTAAGGTTTTCAAAGAATCTGACATGGAATCTGGTGAAAAACTTTGCAATTTTTAAGTTAGTGAAGTACATTAAAATACATTTTAATCCATACTCATTTAATAGTAACATTTGACCCATATACTTTAAATATTAGACAAAGTAATTGTAGAAACACTGGCTGAGGTTTCCCTAACTAAATTCCATTGAAAGAATGGCCTGATAGAATCAGTGTCCAGGGGGCTTTGTCTATGGAGGGGGTTTCTTTCCTTGACTCTGGCAATACCAACACTCAAACAACTTGTCCAGATGTAGTATAGCCATTATCTTCCTTCTCTCCTCCTCTGCTTTCATTTCTAGATCTCTGGAATCCCCCGGTCCTAAAGTATTATACATCCTTCCTGTAAACACTGAAGTCCTTCAAACTCTGCCTGCCATTATACTGACCTTTCATAGACTTTTTTCCTGAAGGTGTCTAGGACCTGAAGATCCTGGAAAGTTAGCCCTTATCCTTGAATCATTTCTGGGTTTTGTAGAGTTTGTTTGAAGCACACCTTTAACTCAGAATTGAGGTTGACTGATAAAACTCAGCTTTAAGTAACCCTCTGGGCAAGTTCTGAGCAGAGATCCAGTGAGCTGAATGTCAGGCACCACCTCCCTGGAGTCTGTATCAGTCACATCAGCATTCTCCTCTGATTAGAATCAGGTTTCAAGGGTCTTGTTCAAGAGTTTATTCTCTCCTTTAAAGATGCCACAATACGTATAAGGAATGTCTCTTGGTCCCAACTAATCTACAATAAGAGAGGAGCAGTATAGTCAGAGGCCAGAAAACAACGCAGTTTCTAGTTCAGGTTATATTCTCTTGGAACAGACTCCTTGCTGAGGGGCTTCTAGAAAAGGAATGCAATGGTCCACCTCTTTCTAAGTAGGAGGGGAAGAAGGGGCTTGTATTGGTGGATATAACTCCTTTCCTATCCTCTCAACTGTCTAATCCCCAAGTGACAACCATCCTCTCCTTCTGTTGTACTTTCTAGCTTAAGATAATCACATATATCACACACACCAATGAAGTGCTATCAGTTGGAAAGGGTGGAGACAGAACCAGAAGATGGGAAGGAAAAGGCCTTGAACACAGCCTGTGTGTGTATTAGAGGTGTGTCTTAATCTTTTGGACTAGGGACTACCCAGTAACCACCCTGAGTTCAGTTTTGTATCACTTTGAGACTAAACTGCTGTGGTAATATTTGTTAGACCCTGAAATAAATTACTGACATGACAGTTTCCTTGTTTTTTTAAATGTCCCCATCTTGAATCATAATTATTGGTACTTGTCTTCCTGAGGCTTTTGAGTCCATCAAATGTGTGCAAATTTCATTTGGGTTAATGTTATTTTCCAGCTTTCATCTGAAACTGCCCATCAGCATTCACCTGCTAGGGTGTTGCTAGAACATGTAAGGCCATGTGGGTTGATGAAGGTAATTTATTCCCACCAATTGGAAAATAAGCTACATTACTTCTAGCTTAGGAATTCCATACATATTTTTAAAATGAAATATGAAACGCAATTTTTTCCCCACACAAATTAATTTGATTCATTAAAGGGCTGAGAATTCTCCCACCAGAAAATCAAGTTTATAGTAGGACCTCAGCATGGGATGGGGTAGATTCGTTTCTCCAAGAACTTGGAGAAAGAGGACAAAAAGGAAAAACATATCAGTGTCCACTCAGCCTTTTATTTTTGGTGTTTCTAAAACTAAACATTTGCTCTTCTTCCATATCCCTCTCTCACTGGAGATCCCTAGTGAGGACACCCCCATTCTGTGTCTTAAGGATATCTGGTGATGATTTCTAAAAGAGAGTTTCTTTTATTAGTAGTAGCAGTAGTAATTGTTCGAGACGGGGGTGTCACTCCGTCACCTAGGCTGGAGTGCGCTGGCACAATTATAGCTCACTGCAGCCTTGACCTCCTGGGCTCAAGGGATTTTCCCGCTTCAGCCTCCTGAGTAGCTGGGACTACAGACATACGCCGCCACGCCCAACTTTTTTTTTATTTTTTTAATTTTTTTTTTATAGAGACAGGAGTCTCATTATGTTGCCAATTTTGGTCTGAAACCCCTGGGCTCAAGCGATCCTCCTGCCTCAGCCTTCCAAAGTGCTAGGATTGCATGACTGATCCACTGTAAGTGGGTTTCTAAAACAGAGATCTTTACAAAGCTTTTTGAAATAATTTGACTCAGCATGCCAGGTAACCAGAACTGTAAGATCACAATTTGAAACAGACATTGTGGTGATGGTGGGAAGAGACGGCCTGCATCAAAACAATGTTTACTAGTTTGTCCTTTTGTCCCATATTGTGTAACTCCGAGAGTTCTTACACCACCGTAAGAAAGTAATTATACTTTGAATTTCTCTAAGGCTCTAGTTAGAGAGCATCCATCTAAATGTGCATTTCCAGGAATATTGCTTTAATGGCCCAGGTAATTCTAATTGGAGAAATAAAATGTTAGCGAGACAGAGTTGGTAGAAGCAAGTAAAACCGGTGTATGGGGTTTGGCCAATGAAATGCAGAGCTCCTTGAGGGCAGGAGACATGTATTCACCAACCTTCTCGCGCCCACAGCCCCAGATCTGTGGCCAACAAGTATCTATGATGCACTTGAAAGGAACGAGCGATGCCAGATGCGGAGGAACCAGGCAGGGCGCATTCTGTCAGTGGCGCCAGGCGGTGTAGCTCCAGCTCTCAGATAACCCAGGCTTTGGGAGGGCGGGGCTCCTGCCGGCCTCCCCTGTAGTGCGGCTCGAGTCCTGTGAAGCTACCAGTTGCCAAATGAAATCTGAAACCTCGAGCTGTGTCTGAGGGTTGGCCCCACTCAGTTGTTCCAGCCTCTTGTACTGTATATTTACACATTCACACACAATCACCCTTTCTAACTTCTGGGACTCTTTGCGCAACTGCTAGGATTTCTCAAGTGCATGTGGCAACACAGCCCAGCTCCGGGTGGAAACCAGCAGGGCTCTGGAGGGGCTCGGAGACCAGGGGAGCTGTCAAGGCTGCGGCGGGGACCAGAGAGGAGCCTGGCGGGGGTGGCTGGGTGGCTGGGGGAATCCCCCCAACTTCCCATCGCAGGCGCAGCTCTCTCGGCCGCCTATTTCCTCCGAAACCCGCGCTGCGGAGCAGCCCAGTGCATAGAGTTCAACACTTCCCCTTGTTGTGGAAAGTAAAGGAGCCTCACTACCACCTTTTTTTCTTTGCGTTTTCTTACTGCTGGTCCTGGGAGCCTTTTCCTTCGGAGCAGCAGCCCTGTCCGGCATCTGTCTTGAGCTCCCAGCAAGGTAGGTGATGCGGTCGCGAGGAAGTGCGCGGAGCTACCGCGGGAAGGACGGACGCGGCTGCCTGCGCCAGGGGAGGGGGCTGCGGGGGGCGGGGAGGGGGCTGCGGGGGGCGGGGAGGGGGCTGCGGGGGGCGGGGAGGGGGCTGCGGGGGGCGGGGAGGGGGCTGCGGGGGGCGGGGAGGGATCGCAGGAATCCCGTGCTGATGTAGCCTGTCTGTGTTTGTGTGTGTGTGTGCGCGCGCGCGCATGTTTGTGCCGGGAGACAGCAAGCTGGTAGTATGTCTTTCTGGCTTTAAAAATAGATGGAATTAATAAAAACCCTTTGTACAATTCAATTTCCTCTCTTGGTATCCATCCTCCCCTTCCCCTTGTTTGTTTCCTCTAGTATCTTATAGGAGTTCCCTATGTAACAGGCGCACAAAGATAGGTTTTAATAATAAGCATATATATTTGCAAAAATATATATTTTATATGTATAAAATATGTTTTAAAATATTTATAAATATATTACATATTAGAAATATATATTATAAAATATATACATATATTTGTAAACACAAAACGTTAGGGAATCTTTGGTGAATTTGAAGCCACTCAAAAGATTTTGTCCAAATGTTTTTAAAAATAACATTTAATGATAAACATGTAATATGGTCTCGTTTTTAGAAAATACTTAAGACTACATTTATTTTATACGTACCCAAATAGAAGGGAGACAATGTTACTCTGAATTCCTTAGATAGATTTTCAGCATCAACCAGTAATAGGGAGCCCAGACTTCTTTGTAGACTATATCTCGTTTAATTCATTTGAATTAAACAAGTAATTTCTCCAAGTAATTTCTGTTTCCAGCACATTTTATGTTACTCTTTTTTTAACCTTCCACGGCATCATTGTTTCATCTCTTTCTAAAAAGGAAATAAATAAATCGTGCTGAGTATTTGGAATATAAAAGTTGTTAAGGCTTTGCTTATACATAAATACATAAATAAAACAATATGTGTTGCTATGTCTACTAAGTAAGACAAATTCATTGGAATCCAGGGATATTTGCAGTAGAGTTTAAGAGCTTTACTCAGTTACTGAGTAGAAGATGTACAGACGGATTAAATACAAACAATCTGTCCCCAGTTCCAATTAGAACTCAAAACCAATCCTTCAGGGCAAAAATGGATGACGCTATTGAACTGGGCATTGTAAAATAAAACACACAGAATGTATGTATTAGAAAAAGCCAGAAAACAGCCATAAAGTCACATCAGACTTGTGAAGATCTCACTCCCCCTTTTAAATTTCTTAATTCTTCCTCTTTTCTGGGCATATTTCAACTTGTAAGAGAGCTCAGTAATAAAAGTTACCATTTTATCTTCCCTGACTGCCTGGCCTTCAGGTAGCAAGTCCAGAAATCTGTTCTCTCTAGAGCCATTACTTAGTGGTCAGAGACTTCACCTTTGACATCTTGGAGGACGGAAATATTGACAAAACTCTGAAATAAATAACATCCTACCATTCACAGGCAGTATATTCTTGGTGGAAGACCTTTAAGTGGGGATAAGAGATAAACTGAGTTTTTCAGATCTGGAATTTAGTTTGAGGTATTTGGAAGGAATATAAAAGAGGTATGGTACTAGGAAAAATAATCGGTAATTCTTTCTGCATGTGGAGGGGCTGTTGAAACTCAGACTGTCCTTGGCTTTCAACTATATTACTTGGTTTTATTACTTCATCTCAGGGGTTTGGATTTGAGATGAGGTGGTTTCTCTGTAATATTCTTCTGTGCCTTACATACCCTGAATCTGAACTATTTTGAAAATATAAGCCTGATAAGAAGTGGGAAAGAATTAAGTTATCTAGAAAAAAATCCACTGCAGAACAAATGGCAATGCATTCTTCCAGACTAGAACATAGATTTAAGTGTAAAAGTGTTTTTGGGTGAAATCCCCAGGGAAATCCTTTCAGCTTTTGCTGGGGATAGTAATGGCCAAAGCTCTGAGAGCTTTCATGGATCATGGTTTTATTTACTGTGTGATCTTGGACTCTGCAGGGTGAAGGGTAAGGAGTGGGCAGGAAGGGTGAGGAATGTGCAACAGGTGGTGATGAGTAGTCCGAGTATGATTACTTTGCTGTCTTAGCCAAAGCCCTGTTGGTGTTTACCAACAGTTCCCTTAATATTTTCACTGTGACCTACTGGCCCATTGACGAGTGTTTTCTTTCCGGCTCGATTAAAGTCTGGGTTGGTTTCTCAGGGCTGAAAGCAAGCGGTGCTACTGTACAGTTCAGGCCGTGCGTTTGTTTCCTGTTCTTAGTGTGTGTGGTGCTGTAGCACCGTCTTAGTCGCTTGTAGTTATTTTCCTGTGAATTTTCTGACCAGCAGTGAAGGGTTCTTTTCTCATGAATTGAGCTATGTCATGCTGATTCCTTCTTTCTGCCATGTTTCAGTTTCTGGTACAAGTGGGTGCTTTGGAAAAACAAGATGGGGAAGGTAGGTAGAGTCTCAGTCTGGAGCCCAGTAACAAGGGACAGCCACCCAATTGGTTACATGTGGGTGTGGAGGAGGTTGGTGATAACAAGAGCCTGAGACATCCATTCTTCACTGATCACATTTTATAGAGGAAAAAGCAGAAGATATTTAAAATGGAACGATGCCTGTTTGCTCTTAAAGCCATGGCTAAAGGACTAAGATCTCTCCCAGATACAGAAAGATATTTAAAAATACAGTTGTTAAATGGTCAGCTTAGCCATGAAGTTAATGTTCTTCATGTGAAGAGTGGAAGCCTCACATCGAGTCTCGCAATGGTAACCCATCTGTCTTTGCTATACAAACTCAAACTTTACAAGGTTCTGATGGCTTCAGCAGCTAAGTACAAGCACATTTGGAAGTGGAGGGATTATTGTGATGAAGAATCAAAGAATATTCAGTTTTCAGTGGTTATTGTGTACATTTGTGCAAAAAAGCAGCATCTACACTCCACTGTGGCATTGCTACAGTTAATCTTTACAAAGTCAGATCTAACTGTGTAAGTCTCTTTATCTAAAACCTTTGTTGGATTCCAATGACTTACAATATTTAAACTCTTTAGTATAGTTTCTAAAAGCTCTTCCAAGCCCTTTCTTTTTAGCTCCCCCTTTGTGTACAAGGTCTCCTCACTGTTCAGGCTTCTGATCTCTGGTTCATGGATTCATTCTCCTGGAATGCCTTCTGTCTGAAAGTCCCTCTTGATTCTTGGTGGCTCACTTCCAGTGGAACTTCCTTCGGGAAAACTTACCCAATTCCGTGAAGAATTAATCATTTCATCTTGTCTGCTTCTATAGCATTTTGAACATACTTTGAATAATTGTTGCAATAATTTTTATGTATTTCCCCTGTCCTCTCTCACAACTACTGTGAGTTCCTCACTGGGTAGATTGGTGGTGGGGGAGCCACCTGAATTCAAGCCCCCAGCCCAGTGTTGGAAACATAGTACACATCTGTTAATGTTTCCCCAATAAGTGGGCAAGTGAAGTCGTCAATAAATGAAATACTGGTGCACTCCAACTTATGAAGATAGTTATATCTCAGAAGTCCATTTAAAAAATGTCTATTTGGTCTTAGAGTTCATTTTCCAAATATAACAATGCTACAAAACATAATCCACTTTCCATACCACCCCACACATGCCTATTTAATCTCTATAATAGATGAAATATTGTGCTTTTGCATATCTAAAGCAAAAGCAAAACAAACAAAAACTACTGTGAAATCATCTTTTTCTTTTGGACATCACAAAATACACTTGAGTTTAAAGAAAATAGAAACAATTATAATAGATATACATTTTCCACAACTGTGTTTTATATTGTACTATAAAATCTGTAATCTGTGAAATCCAAGTGGGAGGTCCTGGATTTGGCTGTGAAGACTAATAATGAAGTTAAATTTGGAGATCCTGCTTATTGAATGGGCAATAGTCTTAATTAATCAAATAAAATAGAAACACTAATTTTGGCTATTTAATAATTATCTGGAGTGCTGGTGCTTGAGGGAAATTAATTAAAGGAGAATGTGGAGCTGGATGGAGAAGAGGAAATTTAGAGGGGCAGCTTCTTTCATGTTATAGTTTCTTTATTGTATTGATTTTCCTTTCATCTCATTTGAGCACTGAGGCAAATCCAAAGTTTCTTCCTGAAAAAAATTCTTTGTCTGCAGTTATTTTTGCTAATATGTAGAAAGGGGCTTACACACTGTTTAGACTAAAATACATATGGGCTTATTTTATTTTCAGAGCAATGTTACCTTTGTCATGTGCATACTGCCAGTTAGCACGTGGATAATACGTATTTTGATCAAGAATTCATACGTGTGGTTCAGGGTATAGCCAGGGATTGAAAGCTCAAGTTCCTCCTTATTCAGCATCTCTGAAAAGCCTGGAACTACTATCACTGATATTTAAGAATAATAGTCCAATCGCTAATTGCTCTAAGTTTTCTAAACTCTCTATCTATATCAAATTACATAACTGGAAATGTACTTACTATAATCACATTACAATACTTTTTTGTTAAAATGTCAAAATGTCTTTATTACACTATGCTTTAATATGATACCCCCCCTTTTTAACTACTGAGAGTCAATATAAAAGAGATGAGCTGAAAAGGAAAGAAATATCTTGGCACCTTATGTTATGCGTTTCAAATTCTTTATATAAGGATTTCCATGATAAATTCCTTTTTGCCTAGACTGCTAGGAATTTTTTAAAGTATATCTCTTCTGATTAACTAGTGGGTTTTTTTGGTTAGAAAAAAGACAGGCTAAAAATTCACCATGCTTCTCAGTTTGACTTGTCACCCAAAAAACTCTGAACTAAATTTGATGCTCAATTGTACGCCAGTCAAGCTTTTTGTATGACATGGTTCACATCATCTTATTGTCACTTTTAATACCCTTATGATACCCACAAGTGTACTAAGCTAATTAAGCTAAGTTAAATCCATGATGAAAACAGATTGAATAGTTACATCACGTTTTTTTCTTGATACAATTAGTTAAATATTTATAAATTTGCATGGTATGGCTTTAGTTTTTTGGAACCAATAATTGTTTTCTAGGTCATTTTTTGTAGTTCCTTGAAACATTCTCTGTAGTGCTTTTATAATCCCTGATAGATAAAATGACCTTTCTTCCAAATGCTACATTTTTTAAAAAATGTAGGAAAAAAATCACATTTTAGTAACTTTGAAAGTAGATACTAAGGCCAAACATGAGTTCTTTTCAATATGTGTATCACAGATGTATAGAAGAATTCCCTTAGGGATGTCGCTGAGAAGGGTAAGAGAAAACCTTTTGTTTTTTCTTACAAATTGAATCTATCAAAAAATTGAGGCTGATGGAGCTGTAATTAGGGCTGTTTTCAAACCATCAAATTGAGCCTTCAGAAAATAAAGTAATTTTTCAAATTCTCCAAAAAGGGAGAATATAACTTTCATTTTGTCTTGAGTTTTTTTCCCTCTCCTTGAATCTAAGACTCTCATAATAATAATCATCCTAAAGAATTAAGTACTTCTTCTACGTACCAAGTACTCCATGAGATATTTTTACATACATTACTTCTGATTTTAGTAGTAATTAGAATTAGTAATTCTAGATGTAATCTATGTTATATTTAATCCAGATATTTTTATGACTATTGTATGGGGATGTTTAGGCTCAGAGAGGTAAATAAAGTTACCCAAGGTAATGTAGACTTGAACATCAAAACCACATCTGCATAAGTCCAAATACCCTGACATATTTACTATGTCCCTTTCCTCTCAGTGCTTTTCAATTATGAATTTTCAAATAATAAACTGTGTATTTCATGGGTTTGGCATGTAGGATAGATCCTGATCTCAATATGATTCTCATGAACTGGCCTTGGAGCTCTCTTGCAGGTCTTCTAGATGACAGCATCCTAGTGCTGATGAGTTGGGACCTGTGGGATGGGTTACCACTACCAAGGTTGGCTAGTGAGAAAAGAGGCTCCATCTACCATAGGCCAGTAACTGAATCAATCTATAGTGATTAGCCTAACCAGACTATTTTCTGGTGAGAAGTGAACAGGAAAGGTGTGGTCCACAGAGATCCAGTAATCTATATCCATTACTTCATTCCATGACATGGGGACATACGTCCTGGGAGCACTGTGAGCAACAGGTGGAGGCAAAGAGGAGGCAAGTGGTCCCCAGTTTAAGAATAGAGCCCCAGCTTGGGAAAGCTGAAATAAAACAAAAAAGGATGATTTCTTTGGGGAGATAGCAACTGAGAAAAGAAGAAAAGTTGGGTTAGTAGTGTTAGTACTCACTGGGCACGCAGAAGTAAAATGAGCTACAGGGAATGGGATTTCAAAGCCAGTCTTTCTCAGAGAAGGGCAATTATTAGAGGAATTATGGGAGTGCATCTCACTCCTGTTTGAGGAGATACCTAGAGAAGAGAATTCTACAGCTACCTTGAAGAGTCATCTTTGATTGTTTCATTTTGTTGGAACTATCTGGTTTAAAATTTTCTTATATGGAGAAGCTTCCAGCAAGAAAATATGATCCGGGGGAGTTAAAACAGCCTGATGTTATCTTCTTGCAACCTAACTGTGTAAACCCAGGATTAGCCACAAAAATACTACCTTCAGTGTCATTTTGGTTTTCACTTCCCATTATGGTTTGTCATTGTGAAATCGTCAAGTGAAATGTTGATGATTTTATATAACATCATATATGTGTTATACAGCAGATCTCTGCTTTCTCACATTTCTAAATAATTTGTTGATTGGAGACTTCATTTATTGGTGACAACTTATGCTTTCATCGTGGGATAACTTTTCAGTACCTATAAGATTAGGTAAGGTTGGTGGATTCCAAGGAGGAGCTGGGGTCTTTGTGCCTGGAGACAGGTAGAAGCCATGGGAACTGCCTCATGAGGAGCTCTGAGAACCCCTGCACAACAGGTCAAGCTGCCGAGGGAGGATGAAAGGGGGAGGGGCAGAAGCAAGGTCACAGGATAACAAGTGCCAGAAGCCAAGAAATCAGGAGAAAAGGCAAATCCAGAGACAGTACCGGGAACTAAAAGCCAAGGGAAAGGGAAAGGAGACAATGTTTGATGTGACAATTAAGAATGCCATTCCTATGTAAGAATAGATAACAATGATTGAAGCCTTACTATGTGCTAGTTTGGCCCTGTGCTTGTCATAGGTTATCTCATTTAATCCTCACAGTTCCTACATGAGCCCTATCTCTCTCTTATAGATGGAAAAACCAAAACCTAGAGAGGCTTAGTAGCTTGCCAAAAATCACACAGCCACTATGTGGTAGATCTGGGATTCAAATTAAAGTATCTCACTCCAAGAGAGCAACCTTTAACTGTTATGCTCTGGAATTAGACCTACATTCTAACCTGGCTCTGATATGCTTAAGCCCTGCAACCTTGGGGAGGTTGCATTCACCGATTTTAACTACAGTTTTCCTCTCCTTATATATGGGCATTTAATGACACCTACTTCATAGTGTTAATGTGAGTTCTTAATTTATGAAGTGAGCAATGCATGAAAAGACTGGAGGGGTGTCTGGCACCTGATAAATATCAATACAAGTTAATAGTTATTATTAAATTCAGTGACAAACAGGGGGAATCCTGAGCAGTATTTTTCAAATTGTAGGTCTTAATCTAACAGTGGTCATAAAATCAAATTACTGGCTTATGACCAACATTTCTTTTTGAATGAAAAAGAATAGAATAAGATAGAATAGATGGAAAAAAAAACTCAGTGTTCATTATATTTAGTAAAAATAGGCCAGGCGCTGTGGCTCATGCCTATAATCCCAGCACTTTGGGAGGCTGAGGTGGGTGGATCACCTGAGGTCAACATGGCGAAACTCCGTCTCTACTATAAGTACAAAAATTATCTGGGCGTGGTGGTGCATGCCTGTAATCCCAGCTACTCAGGAGTCTGAGGCAGGAGAATTGCTTGAACCCTGGAGGCGGAGGTTGCAGTGAGCCGAGATGGCGCCACTGCACTGCAGCCTGGGCAACAAGAGCGAAACTCCATCTCAAAAATAAATAAATAAATAAACAAACAAAAATAAAAAATATAAATAAATAAAAATTGTTTCATATGTTTTAATTTGTGTGTGTGTGTGTGCATTTCATACACTGGGTAGAAATGAAAAATGTGCTTCTGATTATTTATAACTGTCAAAAAATAAATATTTTTAAAAACCTTTAAGGGTGCAATTCTCAAGTGTGGTACCAGGACCAGCAGCATCAGTTCCACCTGAGAAATGCAAATTACTGAGCCCCACCCAGGACCAGCCACTGCCTTTAACAAGGCCTCCAGGTGATTCTGATGTACACTAAAGCTTGAGGACCACTTATTATTCAAAGGTGGCATTTGGAAATCATGAAAAAGCTAGATACTTAACATATATCTAAATACTTAAGAGTGATTAAAAGTACACATTGATATTGTATTGATTGAAGATTTTAACTGGCCACAGGATGCTGTCCAGTGTTTGTGTGACTTCAATTTCGTGTAGGTTTTTTCCCTATTTTCCTATGCCATCTACTCATAGTGCAGCTGGGTAAGTCCCACAGAAGTCCATTAGTTTATATGTAAAAGGATGCTGACTAGCTAGATTCTGTACCTTCTTCTAGAACTATACATTGTTTATATGTTGCCCTGAGCCCGGGACTCTAAAGTATATTCAATTTGAAATATTTTAATGATAATAGTTCAGATGCCTAAATGACTGTCAAATTAGAAATTATTAAAAATTCATAAAAACAACACTGGGTATTTTATTAATTGACATATTTGTTTTGAAAAGCACAGGCAGATGGGAAATTGGAAATGGAGTTAATGCAATAATAATATTGATGATAAAAATTTGATAAAAATGGAAATATAAATTTGTACACTGAGAATTGTTTTCTCCTCAAAGAAAACAGTGAGTGTATTTAAGATATTTGTTGATTGTACGTCATTACTTAAAAGGGCAAGCAGATGATATTTTATTCACCCCCCTTTGTGCGTTGTGTGTAATGTTATTTACTGTTTTTGTTTATGTTTTTCTTTGAGACATGGTCTCACTTGCTGCCTAGGCTGGAGTGCAGTGGTGCCATCTCGGCTCACGGCAAATTCCACCTCCTGGGTTCAAGCGATTCTCCTGCCGTAGCCTCCCGAGTAGCTGGGACTATAGGCGTGCACCACCATGCCAGGCTGATTTTTGTCTTTTTAGTAGAGATGGGGTTTCACCATGTTGGCCAGGCTGGTCTCAAACTCCTGACCTCAAGTCATCTGCCTGCCTCAGCCTCCCAAAGTACTAGGATTACAGACATGAGCCATTGGCCATCATTTACTGTTGTATTTGGTTTATGGTTGGTAGGCTGTATTTGCTTTAAGACTTAAAAGCATCCTATTTGAAAACACTGCATCCAGATTTGCTAGAAAAGACTTGAAGGTGTTCTTTTTTGTTTTTTTCCTTAAAAAAATATTGACCTGGGGCCAGGCGCACTGGCTCACGCCTGTAAGCCCAGCACTTTGTTGAGGCCAAGGCGGGTGGATCACGAGGTCAGGGGATCGAGACCATCCTGGCTAACACGGTGAAACCCCGTCTCTACTAAAAAAAATACAAAAAATTAGCTGGGCTTGGTGGTGGGCGCCTGTAGTCCCAGATACTCGGGAGGCTGAGGCAGGAGAATGGCGTGAACCTGGGAGGTGGAGCTTGCAGTGAGCCGAGATCGCACCACCACACTTCAGCCTGGGTGACAGAGCAAGACTCCATCTCAAAAAAAAAAAAAAAAAAAAAAAAAAAAAATATATATATATATATATATATATATATATATATATATCTCCTTGGATTTTTAAAATGTAGGCTTTCAGTAGGTATATATATTAACTGTATGTTTCAAAAGGTCCTCCTTTATTTTTTGTTTAAATAAATGCTATGGTTGGAGAAAAGTGAAAAGGACATTGAGAAAAGATTTGGGAAGATGTGGACTCTAATCCTACCTCTGGTATTAATTAGTGCCTGAGAACTCAGGCAAATCACTTAGTTTTTCTAGACTTCAGTCTCCTTACCTGTAAAATAAGAGGGCTAGAGTAAATTCTTTTTAAGGTTGTTCCAACATAGAAAAGTCTATGCTGCCAAATGGCAGTGTGCTCCTTTTGAACAGTTTTTTTTTTTTTTTTGAGACAGTCTCACTTTGTCACCCAGGCTGGAGTGCAGTGGTGATCTTGGCTCACTGCAACCTCTGCCTCCCAGGTTGAAATGATTCTCTTGCCTCAGCCTCCCGAGTAGCTGGGATTACAGGCATGCGCCACCATGCCTGACTACTTTTTATTTTTGTATTTTCAGTAGAGACGGGGTTTCACCATGTTGGCCAGGCTGGTCTTGAACTCCTCACCTCAAGTGCTCCACTCACCTCGGCCTCCCAAAGTGCTGGGATTACAGGCTGCCGTGCCCAGTCATTTAGAATAATTTTGATAAGACTGTGGCTATGTGTATGCATTTGGCAGAACTCTGAAAAATGGGTATTTGATTTATTTGATTTTATAGAGGAGTGAGGATCTGGAAGGGATATCTATAACATGATAAAGTTTAGTGTGACCATTCCTTGACAGATTTCATGTACCATTGGGCTAGTTTTCATCAGCTGTGGTTTTGGGGGGATATGTGATACCCTAACAAGGAGGAATTTGAAAATGTATGAGGGTGTTTTTTTTTTATCTTGACAATGACTGGATGAAGCTACTGGCATTTAATACAAGGGTCAAGATACCAAATGTCCTGCAATATGTGTATGATGGTCCGTCACTACAATGAATTTTTCTTCCTCAAATATAAAAGATCTCCCCATTGAGAAACTGGCTAATTAAGTTAAAAGATTGAGTTTTAACTTTATTTTGTGAAATCATCTGGGAAATTGGAAATAAAGTCATACTTTCTGCTGTTTCAGTAAAACAAATGCAAACAATATCTAAGATGACAACTGGTGTTTATGATGCATGAGAGAGAACAGCCTCCAGCTCTCAGCACTATGTATTGACGATGCAGTAAGAAAAGCAGTGAAAATATTGGCTCTGTTAGTACAGTGAGCAAACATAGCTTAAGGACATACTAGTAATAGTTCCTTTAAATTACTAGTTTCTTGATGACAGCCATATTTTTAATGAAATGGCTTGCGGAAGTTTCCATTCAATGTAACTAAACATTGCTTGAGTTCAAATAAATGCTATGATGAAAGCATTGCATGCATAGATTTCATTCCCTGTGATAAGAAATGCTACTAGATTAACAGTGCTGTACAATATACTGAGTAGTTCCTATCGCTCCTCCTGAACTTGTGCTGGCCTCCTCCTGCATCTGTATTGGCTTTGTAAATTCTGGGTCAGGCTAAGGATAAAGCTCCTTCAGCAGGAGTGACTCATCCAGGGCCTTTTCAAGAACCTTTGTAATGTTTTCAAATTTAAGGTGAACTTTGCTTTGGAAACACTTAAATTACAGGATCATTTTCTTAAAATTCATTTCTTTCTTTCATCTTACTTCTTGCATTTGTCAAGTCCTTGGTTTGCTTGGTTGCTTGTGTGTATATATATATAAATATATATTTATTTTATATATATAAAAATATATATTTATTTTATATATATAAAAATATATATTTATTTTATATATAGTAAATATATATTTATTATATATAAATATATATTTATTTTATATATAGTAAATATATATATTTATTATATATAAAATATATATTTATTATAAATTTATATACATTTATAATATATATAAATATATAAATATATATTTATATATATTATATAAACATGTAAATATATATTTATTATATATTATATAAATATATAAATATATATTTATTATATATTATATAAACATATATTTATTACATATTATATAAACATATATTTATTACATATTATATAAACATATATTTATTACATATTATATAAACATATATTTATTACATATTATATAAACATATATTTATTACATATTATATAAATATATATTTATTATATTATATAAACATATATTTATTACATATTATATAAACATATATTTATTACATATTATATAAACATATATTTATTATATTATATAAATATATATTTATTATATTATATAAATATATATTTATATTATATATTATATAATATATATTTATTATATATTATATAATATATATTTATTATATATTATATAAATATATATTTATTACATATTATATAAACATATTTATTACATATTATATAAATATATATTTATTATATATATTATATAAATATATAATATATATAATAAATATATTTTATATATATATATTTATTTATTTAGAGACAGAATCTTGCTCTGTCGCCCGGGCTGTAGTGCAGTGGCGTGATCTCGGCTCACTGCAAGCTCTGCCCCCTGGGTTCACGCCATTCTCCTGCCTCATCCTCCTGAGTAGCTGGGGACTACAGGCGCCGGCCACCACGCCCGGCTAATTTTTTGTTGTGTATATTTTTTAAACTACTGCTTCTGTTCAGCTGTGAGACACTGTGGGTATGAAAGGTGTTGTATGGATAAAATTGTTGCCTAGCAAGCCGAAGCCACCTTGATATTTTCCACGAAAGAAATTCCTGCTCCCTCCGACTTTTTTTTTGCTAAACCTGGGTCTTAACACCTCCTGTGGAGAGGGGGAAAAGGGAGGTGTAATTTAAATGTATAACTTCACCTTTCCTATAAATTTGGTGAAAGTTTAGATTAGAGGAGAAGAATAAAATTACAGAAATATAAATAAAAAGTCTTTTAATCTTTCATGTTTACTATCTAGCTAGGCCTCCACAGCAGTCCAATAACAAATTAAAATTTATTCTAAATGAAATACAGCATTGTAGGTCCTCTTAGAATAAATTCATAGGACTTCAGAATAAAAGCCTGCTTAGAAAACAGCTATTACCATCTCTCCTCCAATCTTTCCATTGGAAAATGAATCCAAAGTGATTGAGGTGATTTGCCCCAGGACACGTGAGGAACAAGCATACCAGCCTCTTGAACTTTGGCAGCTGGCCTATTTCTCAGGAGCCTTTCTCACCTGGGGTTCCTTGAGAAAATTGAACTTAAATGCTCTCCTAAGACATCTGATGCATATAATGAATTGCCTCTTCTGCTTTGCAACTAGAAGGGTACTAGTTAAGTACCATCTTTGGCAAAAATGGAGAAAAGAGTCACTAGTATGATTTTCTGTGTTCCATTGTTTAGATGAGAAACATTTTGGCTCAAAAAGAGAAAGAGAATGTGTAATTAACATCTTTGAAAGCATTTTTATGGAGCTTAGATTAACCCTAAAGGCAGCTGAAAATTGTACCATATTGATTTCAAGGTGTAACTTGTAACTTGTTTTTGGTTACATTTTTAAGCTAATTCCTTCTACATTCCTTGTAATAATATTAATTATGTTTGAACCCATTTAAAGTAAATTGAATATTCTCCACACTGTAGATTTTCAATTAATTCAGCCTTCAAACCACATCAGAATTGTACATTATTTTATGATCTTCATGTGCCTGAAAAACAACAAATAAGTCTGATGGCATTTAACACTTAAGAGATTTCATGCAGAAAGTAAAAATAAAAACGAAAAATAACGGGTTAATCTCTTTAAGCACTGCCTTGACCAGTCAAATAATCACTGAAGGTGAGTGAGAGAATGGATGAGGAGAGAAAAAGAGGATTCAGCTCATGATGACTGCTGTGCAAATCTGAGAAACAGGGAGAGTTGTTTCTGTGCAGGGCTTTTATTATCTCTCTGTTTGCAGTCCCATCCTTGACTGTTTAATTTGTGGAACATTCCAGGGAGTATCCTTAGCTTCCCTGACATGAGCCTGAGACTGGGACTTGATGACTCAGAGGGACTCCTTTCTTAAACAGGAGAGGTCAAATAGAGCCAGTTGGCCCTGCAGCTCATGGCTCAGCTGGGTGAGACAGACTCTTCATCTGGAGCAAGGTGAGCCCTTTGTGCAGCTGAGCTGTGGGGTGCCAGAGAATGCTGCTCCACAAACCTTTGCAGGAAGCTTTGAAAAATATAGGATGTGGTCTCAGAAACACTGGGTTATTTCTGTAGCTCAAAAGAAAGAATACTAAATACTTAGATTTCCTTCCGACATTTGCTCATGGCTCAATGGTGTCCCTTCTGGGACTGTGCTTCTGATATATATTTCCAAGCAAGAATAGGACAGCAGTGGCTTGTGAGGGTTAGAACTTACTTGTTTAGCAAGTAACACTCGGACCAAATAAGGAGCAATAATAATAGTGGCATGTTTTTACTGCTGTTTTCTGTTAGTTTGATGTAACGAAGATTTTCTTAATCTCTTAGAAATAGCCATTAAGTAAAATAAAATTATATTGAACTATTTGATGGAAATGCCAAGCAATTAGTGTATGACATCATTTATGAGCTGTATTATTAATGTGAAATGCTAGAATAATTCAGCAAGAGTAAATGACATGCAAAGGTCATATTACCATGGGCCTGGAGGGGGCAGAAATGGGAGGGAGAGGGAGAATAAATATATATGTCATGTTAAGGTAGAATGTGATAAAATTACTGGTGATATTTTGTATTAGCCTGAGATATGCTGAATTACAGTTGGTGATGCTTTTTGTCAAGGTAGTTAGGGAACAGGTCTAGTGATTGCTTACAAGATTAGAGATTGATTCCTGATACCAATGTTGACCCATAAATTGTAGCTAGAACAATTTAAGACTGTGTTTACAGGCTTGGAGGCAGTCAGCAGAGGCCTCTGGTTCATAGGAACCAGGTTATATTTTGCCTTAAATCTGAGCTTTGCTTTGAAATAAAGATATTAGATGCTTTTTCTTGAGTTGGTAGTTCTTTTGCTTTGCAATTTCCTGGTATTCCATTGTTAAATTACAATTCTCTTTAGAATTCATTCACACATGAACCAGTTTACCCTTTCTGAATTTCGTGCCATAATTGATTTTAATAAGAGGCAGGGAAGCATCATTATTGTCTGACCATTAAGAATTATAGTTAAACAATCAAGCCATGGAACATTTGTTTGGGAGCTTTGAGGAAGGTTTTAATTAGCCCTAGCTCTTATTAGAATGATGCATTTACCTCTTGCAGGTCTATGAATTTAGCACTTTTTGTTTGTGGTGAATTAGTGGCCAGTGACTAGTATTTGATGGAATCAAAAAGATTTGTTATTTTGCCCCAAAACAGAGCTTGTATGACCAGACATTATAAAAGCCTTGATAATTGTAGAATTTATTAATAAAAATTTTCCCCACAGGGACCACTCAATATAATTCCAAATATCTCAGATTTTTCTCATCTTCATATGTTTATTCCAACACAAATGCTTCTTTCTGCAAACTCCTATTTGCCTTTGCTTAATATAATAGGTTTGTTTAGTTTTACATTCTCCTGTTATTTAAGCAAGATTGAATCTTTTTTTCCACCTGCAATTGGTATTTATAAGGGTCATACAAAACTTGTTACTTTAGGTTGATCAATTACCTTATTATCTTGTTTTGTCCCCTTGGAGGTTATGACAAAATGGTGCATAATACCAAATGTCTTGTAATTCATCACATAAAAATAATGTAATTTTAAGTTGATAACTTTTTCATAATTAATGATTGGTTTTAGATCATAATTTTTTAGCTTATTGATGGCTAATGTGGTACATTCTTCCATTTAAAGTAAGCCCTTAAGAAAAATAACAATTTTGTTATCTCTCATTTCCTCTGCTAATTTTTGTGTTTAACTTTAAATATCAAATTCAGAAATATAATTATAAAAATAAGTAACAGAAACTGTTCTATTCTGGTATTAATTGCCACTTACTGTTCTTGGACTTTTTCAATTATTTTAATTAATAAATCAGCTAGGCTGTATTTCAACTTGGACATTATCCAGAAATCACCTTGGGTCTGTTTAACACACACACACACACAGCTGTGTGGAAACCAGGCTGGAGGGAGCAATTATGCTGAGTAGGAGTCCCAAGAGGGGTTCTGTGTGCACTAGGTACTTCCTGGGGACTTGGAACTGATGGTTTTTATCTAGGCTGTTGCCCTGAATCTATACTTGTTTCTTAGCCCAAGGAGGGCTCTGGCCAGAGTACTGTCAACCAAGTGTCTTGTGATGAGAACCTCTAATGCCTCTGGGTGTCTGGAGTGCTATCTCATTGAATTAGCCTCAAGTTGAACTCCCTTAGAAGTTTCAGCTGCTTCATGTTCTGAATTCTAATGAATTTGAAACTATACTGAGCAGGTGACAGCTGTGAGTGAGGGACCACATCACCAGCTTATTTACTTTTATTCTAATTCAAAGTGATAGGCCCCTTCCTCTTTGAAGTTAAATGTCTTGTTTCTATTCTTTCTCTAACCACTTTTTTGTCTTTTGTCTTTCTTCCATTTTGGTTCTTTTTATTTCCTCTCTCTCTTCCTCGCCATTCCCTCTTCCTCCCGTATTTCCTCCCTCTTCCCTCCTCCCTCCTTCCCTCCCTTCCTTCCTTCTTCTGTTCTTTGCCTTTTCTCTTTATTACCCTAGAACCTTGTCATATCAGTTTCCTCTAAGGACCAAACTTTCTTATGATCTTTTTCTTCCTCTATTCCTTCTTCTTATTATTACTGGTCATGGTGTTTATTGGCCCTCTTTCTTCTTCAGTTACACATTTCCAGGATGTGCTATCCTGGTCGATATCTTCGTTTCTTTTGGACTCCAAAGCCATGGACTAAATATTTCACTTTAATTGTTCAAAACTGCTTGAATGAACTGTTGTATAATTATTATTAGCTCCTCCTTTCTACTCCTATCCTCATAAAGCTTTTATGGAAATGTAAAACCAGATAAGCAGCTGGTTTGATAAATATTACTGTGATAATGGATTCAAAAAAGCCTATATTTAAAGAGTCAGTCTGCTCTAACATTCACTAACAGTGCCAAGCCACTTAAAACATTTTTTTAAATGGGGATAATTGCCAAACGGGATAACATGGCTGAAAACATTTCATGTTACAAATGATACTTATTGCTACTGAGATTTACTATCAAAGAGAGTCACTATTCAGTGTCACAGGACATTTCAAAATCTATATTTTATTTTTTTAACTTTTTATTTCAAAATAATTTGAAACATAAAAAATTGCAAAATGTATTCCCATATAACCTTTTCTAAATGTTAGCATTTTAGAGTTATCAAAACCAGAAAATTAACACTGATAAAATACTATTAACTAATCTGTAGTTGTTATTCAAATTTCATCAGTTATCTCACCAATGTCCTTTTTCTAGAGTAAGAGACAAACCGAAATCATACACAACATTTATTTGTCATGTCTCTTAGTTTCCTCCAATCTGGGTAGTCTTTCCGTATCTTACGAGATCTTGACACTTTTGAAGTCTAGTGACCAGGTATTTTGGAGAATGTCTCTCACTTTGTGTTCTGATAATAAAAGTCAGGTTGTACATTTTTGGCAAGAGTACCATAGAATTAGGGCTGTCCCCTTCTCAGTGCATCATATCAGGAAGCGCATGATGTCAATTTGTCTAAATACTACTGATGTTAACTCCAATTATTCATTCTAGGCTGGCCAGGTTTCTCTACTATAAAGTTGCTAGTTTACTTTCTGTAACTAATAAGCATTATGTGGAGAGATACTATGTAAATGACCAGTTTTTTCTATCATACTTTCAGCTATGAATTTTGTACTCATTGATCATTCTTGCCTGAAACAGTTGTCACTATGGTGTTTGCCAAATGGCGATTTTCTATCTTCATAATTCCTTCTACCATTATTAGTTAAAATTCTTCTACGCGGAAGTTTTCCCTTACCCCCCACTTACTTACTTTCAATTATTTATGTATATCAGTATGGACTCGTGGGTATCTGTTTCATTCTGTGAGCTATAATCCATTACAACTGATATTTATTTTGTTGCTCAAATTGTCCACATTTGACCATTGGAAGCCCTTTAAGTTGGCTCTTGTGCCCTTTCTTCATATCACCATCATTTTTGAACATTCTTCTTTTCTGGTACCACAAGACACTCTAGGCTCTTCTTGTACTCCATTTGATCCAGCCCATGAGTCAATCATTTTCTAAAGACACCAGATTTCTGTTATTAAAGAATAGAATTTAGAAACCAAAAATCTGGGTGTTACTTGTGCTTATTCACAAAAGAACGTATCTCCTTTTTTCTACAGTCTATTTACTTATTTGCTTAAATCTTCCATACACATAAAGTACTTTCAGAATTGTTCATCCATACTTCTGTGAAAAATATTTACTAACAAGAGTACAATATTTAGCCTTAGAATATAGGGTCAAAACGCTTTATTTCCTAAGTTACTTTTCTTCTCTTCCTCATCGTGAAAAATTTTGTGCTTTGACCTACAAGGAAAACTATGGTGACTTCATGTTGACCTGAATATTTACATACTTAAGTGAGTTGTCTACAAATCAAGGTTGTATTTTTTAATAGACTGATTTTAATACTTGCTTTGTTGTTGATATGAAAATGAAGCCTCATATTTCTATCATGTTTTCTTTTTTTTCTTTATTTCTTCTAAAAAAATGGTATGGATATGCAGAACGTGCAGCTTTGTTACATACGTATACATGTGCCATGGTGATTTGCTGCACCTACTGACCCATCCTCTAACTTCCCTCCCCTCACACCCCATCCCCCAACATCGTGTGTGTGGTTCCCCTCTCTGTGTCCATGTGTTCTCATTGTTCAACACCCACTTAATGAGTGAGAACATACAGTGTTTGGTTTTCTGTTCCTGTGTTATATGTAACATTATTATACATTTTTTTTTTACTCTTTTAATATCTTTAATATTGGCCAAGGCGGGTGGAACACGAGGTCAAGAGATCGAGACCATCCTGGCCAACATGGTGAAACCACGTCTCTACTAAAAATACAAAAATTAGCTGGGCGTGGTGGAGCCTGTAGTCTCAGCTACCCGGGAGGCTGAGGCAGGAGAACAGCTTGAACCCAGGAAGTGGAGGTTGCAGTGAGCCAAGATTGCACCATTGCACTCCAGCCTGGTGACAGAACGAGACTCTGTCTCAAAAAAAAAAATAAAAAATAAAAAAAATTAAGTCTGTCATGTAGGAAATAAAATAACAGAAAATAGCCTTCTTTCAAGTTTCTGTAACGGAATACAAGATAAAACTTCATGAAAACTCTCAAGAAAAAGAGTGACCTGGCCGGGCGCGATGGCTCACGCCTGTAATCCCAGCACTTTGGGAGGCCAAGGTGGGGAGATCATGAGGTCAGGAGTTCGAGACCAGTCTGGCCAACATAGTGAAACTCCGTCTCTAATAAAAATACAAGAAATTAGCTGGGCGGGGTGGCGGGCGCCTGTAGTCCCAGCTACTCGAGAGGCTGAGGTAGAATGGCATGAACCCGGGAGGCGGAGCTTGCAGTGAGCCGAGATCGCGCCACTGCACTCCAGCCCAGGCGACAGTGCGAGACTCCGTCTCAAAAAAAAAAAAAAAAAAAAGAGTGACCTGAGCCAAAAATGACCCTCCACTTTTACAAACCATTTTGTCTTCCTGAAAGACATGACCTATAAATGACCGAGTATGAACAGTATCTTTACACTTCTTTCTTTCCTTGATTTGTTTCCGGGTTTCAGCGAAGAGGTAAAGGGTCAGAAGGAAGAGAGCGGCTAGTAGAAGCTGAAAAGGGGAGAAGTAGGCCAAGTCAAGTAAGTACAGAAGTACAGAATTTTTTTTTTTTTTTTTTTTTTTTTTTGAGATGGAGTCTCACTCTGTTGCCCAGGCTGGAGTGTAGTGGCGCGATCTCGGCTCACTGCAAGCCTTGCCTCCCGGGTTCATGCCATTGTCCTGCCTCAGCCTCCCGAGTAGCTGGGACTACAGGCGCCCGCCACCACGCCCAGCTAATTTTTTTATATTTTTAGTAGAGACGGGTTTTCACCGTGTTAGCCAGGATGGGTCTCAATCTCCTTACCTGGTGATCCGCCCGCCTCGGCCGCCCAAAGTGCTGGGATTACAGGCGTGAGCCACCGTGCCTGGCCCAGAAAAATTTTACTATTATTAATCAGGAATTACAGGATATGAGGGGAGATTGACTACTAGTAGTGTGTCTATTTTTAACAGTGTATCAGAATGTAATACTCTACAGCATGGCAGGCGTTGAAAGCATTTTCTGATGCCTACATAGAAGTAGACAGAGGCATGAGAGTGATTCAGTGCTCAGCTGTCTCTCCTTAGCTGTAATTTATGACTGTCAGCATTATTTCTCTTGGATAGTGAAAGAAAATTTTAATCCTTTTATAGTATCACATATTTTATAGAATTTGTTTGTGTCTCATTTTGACTTTGTAGCTCCCCAAACCCTAGAGAACATGGGAAGTAGTTAGCCTACTGTTATCTTTGTTGTGAGATTTTCATCTTTTATCATAAATAGAATAGCGAACTCTTTCTTTCAGTGAAGCACTCTTCCTCCTAGTCACACTTAGTGATTACAAAGTTCTGTTTTCTTTTATACAAATGCCAACATTTTTGTAACTTCTTGGCTTATGAAGAGTGAGTGTTTAGAGTTACCGGGAACCATGAAAAGGAAGATACCACCGGTGTTTATTTACTGAGATTTAATAAGAGAGTCATCAATATGGCATTTTCACCCTTTTCCTGCCGAAATCTGGGAGAGCTTTTGGTTGCATGTGCCTTTCAGGCTTAGCATTTGTAAAACAGAAACAGCTTGTGAGTTTTACCATAGGACAGGGCTTTCAGCAGAAATAGGTCTATCACAGTTACTGTGAATATGTGCACAGGAATCCTTGCTATGGTGGGAATGTTTGTTTGTTTACTTTTCATAACCAACAGCAAACAACTCTTCTCTGAAGAAATATATTTCTCCTCTGACTTTTGAGAAGATTTTAACGTTTTGCATGATGTGTAGATCACCTTTTGACCACAAATATATGTCACATCACATTGGACAGGTTTCAAATCACAACCGTGAAGTTCAACAGCATACTGATAAAAATGGCCATGCAACACTGTGAAGATTAACATGTAGCAAGCTCCCGGGTATATTAAGTGGTAATAATAAAAAAGGCAGAGTCTTAGGTGCCCCATAGTTCATGGTTTGCACCACATTTTCACACGAGTTTTGTAGATGTCTAACTACGGACACTAGCACCCATACTTTGGTGACAGGTCAAAAACCTTTTGGGAAATTAATATTACCCAAATGTGTTTTGGTGAAAGTCTATCCTTTCTGAGAAAAGTCCCGCCAACAAAATACAGAGAAATGAGTATGAAATTTAGGAATGAACCAAAAAAAAGTCATTTTGTGATGTTTACAAGTGGACAAGGAAGGAAGTCATTTTGGGCAAAGGGAACCCACATGCAAAGCCGTGTTATGAGAATATTGGATATTTGGCAAATGCCCCGAGTTTAGTGTGAATTTGTACACTGTTGATAAAGAGGAAGGAATGGAATCAGGAAATATGAAACGGTTAAAACGATTAAACTTGGTGACTAATAGAAGTAGTAAAGAAGAAAGGATTGGAAATATCCCAACCAACTGAGCTTATTAGTCACAGATGTTGGTGAATAAATCCCACCATGCCCCATCCATTCCTGACAAGCCCAATCAGGGTACAAAATCATGTGCTTTGGTGAGACCTAGAGATAAAGTTTCATGTCTCAGCTCTGTCAAAGTACTCTGTGTAACACTGGGAAAACAACTTCTGTGAGCTTTAAATTCAGCGTCTAGAAAATAATACTTATTTCTCAGAAATTTTGTAAAGATTAATTGTGGGAGAGAAGTCACTTTGAAATAATTATATAAATGCAAAATATATTATCTTCTTGTCCACTGCTACTAATTGTCAACATTAAAAATGTATATCTGCAAAATCAGTTCTTCTATGCTAAATTAAGAAATGCAGCACCGGCCAGGCACAGTGGCTCATGCCTGTAATTCCAGCAATTTGGGAGGCTGAGGCAGGTGGATCTCCTGAGGTCTGGAGATGGAGACCAGCCTGACCAACCTGGTAAAACCCTATTTCTACTAAAAATACAAATTAGCTGGACGTGGTGGTGCAGGCCTATAATCCTAGCTAAATGAGAGAATGAGGCAGGAGAATTGCTTGAACCCAGGAGGTGGAGGTTGCGGTGAGCCAAGATCGTGCCATTGCACTCCAGTCTGGGTGACAAGACCAAAACTCAGTCTGGAAAAAAACAAAAGAAAGAAAGAAAAGGAAAAGAAATGCAGCACCATGTCCCTAACTTTTTAGTTTTACTGTTGTAACAGTCTTTGAACACACGGCAGTTTTGCCAGGTTTGGGTCTCCCTCGGTGTTCAATTTCCTTCTCCAACTTGTAAATTTCTATTCTAAATAAAACAAGAGGTAATTATGGTTGAGTTCCTTTTTCTCTTAAGTTGGTTAATAAAAAGTGTAGAGTCCTTTATGCAAGTAAAATAAATGCACAAGCTAATAGTTTATTTTCTTTTCTTTGGTAACAAGAACAAGGAGATTTTTGTGAGGAAACAAAATACTTGTTTGCCAAGAATTTGTGATAATGTGTCAAAGGTGACTAATATCTTGAATCTCATCCAGACACCTACTACAGGGGAATTAAGGACACAGTAAAATAATGGCCATCTTATACCTGGGTTGGCTCCTAACATCAAATTATGATGTGGCTTGTGGACTAGGGAGCTGGGCCTGGCCATGCTAGCTTTGTGTGTGCTTTCCTTGCTCCTTTAAGCCAACACTAGAGAGAAAGCAGACTGAATAGTTGTGTTGCTATCTTCTCTGTGACCTACTTACTTTGGTATTCTAAATTTTTCAATTATATTAATGGAAAAAGGAGGAGAGCCCTAGAAGAGAGTGACCTGTGCCCTGTTTGTGAGCTCAGCCTCGTGCTGAACAGCCCTAACTCCCTGCCCCAAATGGGGAAATCCACGGGCCTGTGTAGATGTCTTGGCCACAAGGAAGTGAGGAGACCACAGGCCCGTGTAGTCATCTTAGCCACAAGGAAGTGAAGAGACTAAAGACAGTCTTTCTCTCCTAAAGCCTAGAGAAGAATTAGAATCGTGGGGAATTGATCCCAGGAATCTAGATTCTAACAGATTGCTCGAGTGAGCCTTCTCTACACTAAACTTCAAGAATATTTATGAAAAATTTCACCATCTTGTATGATACTTGTATTAGTAAATTAAATGTAGCTGTTAATAATCAGTAAGCACTTATCCATACTTCTAAGAAAATGAAAGTTCCCTCTAAAAGGAAAGGAACAAATTGAGAACTTATTATTTTCAAATATTGTCATACATTTATTTTTTCTTTTATTTGCTTCAGACAACTTAGAATTTCACTGTATAAACTAGTGTCATCCATGAGATTAGAGAAGAAACCTCACAGTTAAGCTCCTCTCATTTATTCCACAGCTTATTCTTATTTATAATCAGCTTGTTGTTGTTTGCTTCGTAGTTATTACTAAGTGGTTATCACTTTCATTAGACCTTGCTTAGAATGTCTTCGAATTTAAATCAGATATATTATTTTAGAGTGAGAACATATACCAACATTTGAAAGAATATATAAATATGTATTTGGTAATGGCAGCATTGCTAAAATAAATGTATGACCTTCTAAGTGACTGGTCTAAAAAGGGCATTGATGATAGGTTTAGTTCATATTAGAATTTCAAGCCTCTAGTTTTATAAACAATCTCTCTATTTGATTTCAATGTTAATGAAATACTCTGCTTTAGAATCATTCAGAAGATAGCATATACTATCACTAGCAAGCATTCACATGGCTTTAAGTGGGAGAGAAATACTAGAGGAAAACTAGAAAGCCTTTATCACCACTTCGTTTCCTGTTTTCCTCTTGTCTTTGGTGACGATTCAAGGTCTAAATATTTGAAGCTATGAAAAATTAAGAATATTCTCCAGAGGTTCAAATGAAGAGAGCTCTTACCTAGCCTGCAGCCTTGGTGGGGCCAAGATTGGCTCCTAGAATATTAGCTACTATGACTATCTTTCATTATCACCTCTTAGAGAAGGGAAGCATTAAACAACAAAGAATAAACCAGAATAAGACAAAGAAACATTTGGCTTAAAGATGAGTACGGAAGAAGAAATCTCTATAGAGACTCATCTAGGTCTGTGCTGTTCCGTGTGGTAGGCACAGCTAATGATCATATGCATTGAGGTTAGTATGAATGAGGAACAGAGTTTTTAAGTTTCTAACTTTAATTTTAATGAACTTATATTTAAGTTTAATAATCGGTACTATTTTTAATTATTGGAAAAAAAGTTAAGCTTATTGGGGGAACAACTCACCTCTGGAGATCTACTTTTTAAACTGTAAATTTTATGAAGCCTAATACCAACTAAGTATTTGTGATAAAATTTAGCATCCAAATTGAGATGTACTGGAAATGTAAAATACACACTAGATTTTTAAGACATAGTATGAAAAAAAGAATATAAAATTTTCACTAATATTTTGAAGTATGTTTACATGTTGCAATGATATATTTTGGGTATGTTGGGTTTAAAATAGGTTATTAAGATTAATTTCACCTGTTTCTTTTTACCTTTTTAATGTAGATACTAGAAAATTTAAAATGTGGCTTCTATTATATTCCTATGGGACAGTACTCATCCAGATGCTTATGACAGCCCAGATTTCTGTAGTGCTGGAAACTGAGAAGTCTGGTGTTCCCTGGTATTCATTTCAGTGCCATGGCTCTACAAGGGAATAAAAATGTATTAATCAGTGATGAAATATGTCCTTGGAAAATAATTTGAAAACTTTATTACTGAGAATACAGATTATTAACTAAATGGTAATAGTACTGTCCTAATAAGTACCAACTCATTAAAACAACTAGGAATATTTAGAGTGAGGACTGTATAAATGTTTACCAAAATGTTTTTCTTGTTCCAGATTTCCTTCTTATAACTTTTAAAGTAATTTATTTTAGTCAGGATTAACTAAGCAAAATATGTTGTTATAATTATATCACATGATGCATTTAAATTAAGCAATAACTATGAATCATCTCAGATGTGGAAAGCTCATGGCCTCAGAATGGAATATGGGGACTCATAAGACTTTTTTATTATGATGATACTTTAAGTTCTAGGGTACATGTGCACAACGGGGAGGTTTGTTACATAGGTATACATGTGCCATGTTGGTTTGCTGCACCCATCCACTCGTCATTTACATTAGGTATTTCTCCTAACGCTGTTCCTCCCCCAGCCTCCCACCCCCCCACCAACAGGCCCTGGTGTGTGATGTTCCCCACCCAGTGTCCAAGTGTTCTCATTGTTCAATTCCCACCTACAAGTGAGAACATGCGGTGTTTGGTTTTCTGTCTTTGTGATAGTTTGCTCAGAATGATGGTCTCTAGCTTCATCCATGTCCCTGCAAAGACATGAACTCATCCTTTTTTATGTCTGAATAGAATAGTATTCCATGGTGTATATGTGCCACATTTTCTTAATCCAATCTATCAGTGATGAACATCTGGGTTGGTTCCAAGTCTTTGCTATTGTGAATAGTGCCACAATAAACATATGTGTGCATGTGTCTTTATAGTAGCATGATTTATAATCCTTTGGGTATACACCTGGTAATGGGATGGCTGGGTCAAATGGTATTTCTAGTTCTAGATCTTTGAGGAATTGCCACACTGTCTTCCACAATGGTTGAACTAGTTTACAGTCCCACCAACAGTGTAAATGCATTCCTATTTCTCCACATCCTCTGCAGCATCTGTTGTTTCCTGACTTTTTGATGATGGCCATTCTAACTGGCTTGAGATGGTATCTCATTGTGGTTTTGATTTGCATTTCTCTGATGGCCAGTGATGATGAGCATTTTTTCATGTGTCTGTTGGCTGCATAAATGTCTTCTTTTGAGAAGTGTCTGTTCATATCCTTTACCCACTTTTTGATGGGGTTGTTTTTTTCTTGTGAATTTGTTTAAGTTCTTTGTAGAATTTGGATATTAGCACTTTGTCAGATGGGTAGATTGCAAAAATTTTCTCCCATTCTGTAGGTTGCCTGTTCACTCTGATGGTAGTTTCTTTTGCTGTGCAGAAGCTCTTTAGTTTAATTAGATCCCATTTGTCTATTTTGGCTTTTGTCACTACTGCTTTTTGTGTTTTAGTCATGAAGTCTTTGCCTATGCCTATGTCCTGAATGGTATTGCCTAGTTTTTTTTTCTAGGGTTTTTATGGTTTTAGGTCTAACATTAAAGTCTTTAATCCATCTTGAATTAATTTTTGTATAAGGTGTAAGGAAGGGATCCAGTTTCAGCTTTCTACATATGGCTAGCCAGTTTTCCCAGCCCTATTTATTAAATAGGGAATCCTTTCCCCATTTCTTGTTTTTGTCAGGTTTGTCAAAGATCAGATGGTTGTAGATATGCGGTGATATTTATGAGGCCTCTGTTCTGTTCCATTGGTCTATATCTCTGTTTTGGTACCAATACCATGCTATTTCGGTTACAGTAGCCTTGTAGTATAGTTTGAAGTCAGACAGTGTGATGTCTCCAGCTTTGTTCTTTTTGCTTAGGATTGTCTTGGCAATGTGGGCTCTTTTTTGGTTCCATATGAACTTTAATGTAGTTTTTTCCAATTCTGTGAAGAAAGTCATTGGTAGCTTGATGGGGATGGCATTGAATCTATAAATTACCTTGGGCAGTATGGCCATTTTCATGATATTGATTCTTCCTATCCATGAGCATGGAATGTTCTTCCATTTGTTTGTGTCCTCTTTTATTTTGTTGAGCAGTGGTTTGTAGTTCTACTTGAAGAGGTCCTTCACATCCCTTGTAAGTTGGATTCCTAGGTATTTTATTCTCTTTGTAGTAATTGTGAATAGGAATTCACTCATGATTTGGCTCTCTGTCTGTTATTGGTGTATAGGAATGCTTGTGAGTTTTACACATTGATTTTGTATCCTGAGACTCTGCTGAAGTTGCTTATCAGCTTAAGGAGATTTTGGGCTCAGAAGGTGGGGTTTTCTAAACATAGAATCATGTCATCTCCATACAGGGACAATTTGACTTCCTCTTTTCCTAATTGAATACCCTCTATTTCTTTCTCTTGCTTGATTGCCCTGGCCAGAACTTCCAACACTATGTTGAATAGGAGTGGTGAGAGAGGGCATCCTTGTCTTGTGCCAGTTTTCAAAGGGAATGCTTCAAATTTTTGCCCATTCAGAGTGATATTGGCTTTGTTTGTCATAAATAGTTCTTATTATTTTGAGATATGTTCCATCAATACTTAGTTTACTGAAAGTTTTTAGCATGAAGTGCTATTGAATTTTGTTGAAGGCCTTTTCTACATCTATTGAGATAATCATGTGGTTTTTGTCGTAGGTTCTGTTTATGTGATGGATTACAATTATTGATTTGCATATGTTGAACCAGCCTTGCATCCCAGGGATGAAGCCGACTTGATCGTAGTGGATAAGCTTTTTGATGTTCTGCTGGATTCAGTTTGCCAGTTTTTTACTAAGGATTTTTGCATCGATGAACATCAGGGATATGGGTCTAAAATTCTCTTTTTTGTTGTGTCTCTGCCAGGCTTTCGTATCAGGATGATGCTGGCCTCATAAAATGAGTTAGGGAGGATTCCCTCTTTTTCTATTGATTGGAATAGTTTCAGAAGGAATGGTACCAGCTCCTCTTTGTACCTCTGATAGAATTCGGCTATAAATCCATCTGGTCCTGGACTTTTTTGGTTGGTATGCTGTTAATTATTGCCTCAATTTCAGAGCCTGTTATTGGTCTATTCAGAGATTCATCTTCTTCCTGGTTTAGTCTTGGGAGGGTGTATGTGTTCAGAAATTTATCCATTTCTTCTAGATTTTCTAGTTTATTTGCATAGAGGCGTTTATAGTATTTTCTGATGGTAGTTTGTTTTTCTGTGGGATTGGTGGTGATATGCCCTTTATCATTTTTTATTGCATCCATTTGATTCTTCTCTCTTTTCTTCTTTATTAGTGTTGCTAGCAGTCTATCAATTTCATTGAAATTTTTGAAAAACCAGCTCCTGGATTCAATGATTTTTTGAAGGGTTTTTTGTGTCTCTGTCTCCTTCAGTTCTGCTCTGATCTTAGTTATTTCTTACCGTCTGCTAACTTTTGTATTTGTTTGCTCTTGCCTCTCTAATTCTTTTAATTGTGATGTTAGGGTGTCAATTTTAGATCGTTCCTGCTTTCTCTTGTGGGCATTTAGTGCTATAAATTTCCCTGTACACACTGCTTTAAATGTGTCCCAGAGATTCTGGTATGTTCTGTCTTTGTTCTCATTGGTTTCAAAGAACATCTTTATTTCTGCCTTCATTTAGTTATTTACCCAGTAGTCATTCAGGAGCAGGTTGTTCAGTTTCCATGTAGTTGTGTGGTTTTGAGTGAGTTTCTTAATCTGGAGTTCTAATTTGATTGCACTGTAGTCTGAGAGACAGTTTATTGTGATTTCTGTTCTTTCACATTTGCTGAGGAGTGCTTTACTTCCAATTATGTGGTCAGTTTAAGAATAAGTGCGATGTGGTGCTGAGAAGAATGTATATTCTGTTGATTTAGGGTGGAGAGTTCTGTAGATGTCTATTAGGTCTGCTTGGTGCAGAGCTGAGTTCAAGTCCTGGATATCCTTGTTAACCTTCCGTCTCATTGATCTGTCTAATATCGACAGTGGGGTGTTAAAGTCTCCCATTATTATTGTGTGGGAGTCTAAGTCTCTTTGTAGGTCACTCAGGACTTGCTTTATGAATCAGGACGTGCTCCTCTATTGGGTGCATATATATTTAGGATAGTTAGCTCTTCTTGTTGAATTGATCCTTTTACCGTTATGTAATGGCCTTCTTTGTCTCTTTTGATCTTTGTTGGTTTAAAGTCTGTTTTATCAGAGACTAGGATTGCAACCCCTGCCTTTTTTTGTTTTCCATTTGCTTGGTAGATCTTCCTCCATCCCTTTATTTTGAGCCTATGTGCGTCTCTGCACATGAGACGGGTCTCCTGAATACAGCACACTGATGGGTCTTGACTCTTTATCCAGTTTGCCAGTTGGTGTCTTTTAATTGGAACATTCAGCCCATTTACATTTAAGGTTAATATTGTTATATGTCAATTTGATCCTGTCATTATGATGTTAGCTGATTATTTTGCCTGTTAATTGATGCAGTTTCTTCATAGCATCGATGGTCTTTACAATTTAGCATGTTTTTGCAGTGGCTGGCACCAGTTGTTCCTTTCCATGTTTAGTGCTTCTTTCAGGAGCTCTTTTAGGGCAGGCCTGGTGGTGACAAAATCTCTCAGCATTTGCTTGTTTGTAAAGGATTTTATTTTCCCTTCACTCATGAAGCTTAGTTTGGCTGGATATGAAATTCTGGGTTGAAAAATTCTGTTCTTTAAGAATGTTGAATATTGGCTCCCACTCTCTTCTGGCTTGTAGGGTTTCTGTGGAGAGATCTGCTATTAGTCTGATGGGCTTCCCTTTGTGAGTAACCAGACCTTTCTCTCTGGCTGCCCTTAACATTTTTTCCTTCATTTCAACCTTGGTGAATCTGACAATTATGTGTCTTAGGGTTGCTCTTCTCGAGGAGTATCTTTGTGGTGTTCTCTGTATTTCCTGAATTTGAATGTTGGCCTGCCTTGCTATATTGGGGAAGTTCTCCTGGATAATATCCTGAAGAGTGTTTTCCAACTTGGTTCCATTCTCCCTGTCACTTTCAGGTACACCAATCAAACGTTGATTTGGTCTTTTCACATAGTCCCATATTTCTTGGAGGCATTGTTTGTTTCTTTTTACTCTTTTTTCTCTAAACTTGTCTTCTCACTTTATTTTATTAACTTGATCTTCAATCACTGATACCCTTTCTTCCACTTCATCAAATTGGCTATTGAAGCTTGTGCATGCGTCACAAAGTTCTAATGCCATGGTTTTCAGCTCTGTCAGGTCATTTAAGGTCTTCTCTACACTGTTTGTTCCAGTTAGCCATTTGTCTAACCTTCTTTCAAGGCTTTTAGCTTCTGCTTGTGATGGGTTAGGACATGCTCCTTCAGCTCAGAGAAGATTGTTATTACCGATCTTCTGAAGTCTAGTTCTATCAACTCGTCAAAGTCATTCTCCATCCAGCTTTGTTCCATTGCAGGTGAGGAGCTGCGATCCTTTGAAGAAGAGGTGCTCTGGTTTTTAGAATTTTCAACTTTTTGCCCTGGTTTCTCCCCATCTTTGTGGTTTTATCTACCTTTGGTCTTTGATGTTGGTGACCTACAGATGGGGTTTTGGTGTAGATGTACTTTTTGTTGATGTTGATGCTATTCCTTTCTGCTTGTTAGTTTTCCTTCTAGCAGTCAGGTCCCTCAGCTGCAGGTCTGTTGGACTTTGCTGGAGGTCCACTCCAGACCCTGTTTGCCTGGGTATCATCAGTGGAGGCTGCAGAACAGCAAATGTTGCAGAACAGCGAAGTCTGCTGCCTGATCATTCCTCTGGAAGCTTCGTCCAAGAGAGGCACCTGACTGTATGAGGTGTCTGTTGGCCCCTACTGGGAGGTGTCTCCCAGTTAGGCTACATGGGGGTCAGGGACCCACTTGAGGAGGCAGCGTGTCTGTTCTCAGAGCTCAAACGCCATGCTGGGAGAACCACTGCTCTCTTCAGAACTGTCAGACAGGGACGTTTAAATTTGCAGAAGTTTCTGCTGCCTTTTGTTCAGCTATGCCCTACCCACAGAGGTGGAGTCTATAGAGGCAGTATACCTTGCTGAGCTGTGGTGGGCTCTGCCCAGTTTGAGCTTCTTGGCCACTTTGTTTACCTACTCAAGCCTCAGCAATGGCGGACGCCCCTCCCCCAGCCAGGCTGCAGCCTTGCAGGTCAATCTCATACTGCTGCGCTAGCAGTGAGCAAGGCTCTGTGGGCATGGGACCCACTGAGCCAGGCACAGAAGAAAATCTTCAGGTCTGCCAGTTGTGAAGACCATGAGAAAAGCACAGTATTTGGGCAGAAGTGTCCCATTTTTCCAGGTACAATCTGTCATGGCTTCCCTTGGCTAGGAAAGGGAAATCCACCAACCCCTTGCACTTCCTGGGTGAGGCAATGCCCCGCCCTGCTTCGACTCACCCTCTGTGGGCTGCACCCACTGTCCAACCAGCCCCAGTGAGATGAACCAGGTACCTTAGTTGGAAATGAAGAAATCACCCGTCTTCTGCATCAGTCACGCTGGGAGCTGCAGACTGGAGCTGTTCCTATTCGGCTATCTTGGAATGGGATCTAAGCCTTTTTTTTTCCCCCCATGTGGAACTTAGAAATGTGATAAAGTAGGTAAAACACACATTTAGAAAACTGGATATATAAACAGCACATTTAATAAAGGAGTAAATTTGGTAGATTCCAATTGTTCAGGAATTCAGTGGAAAGCTAAATCAATGTGAACTGAGATTTTTAAAAGAAGCTATATAGCAGAAGTGGGACTTGAGCTTGAATGGTTGGATTTGCATGAACTGAGGGAGAATGCTTCCAGAGATCTGCATATTGACATATTGGACCTTCTGTTGGATCACTGATCACTTTCCTCTATTTACTTGTCTTTTAAAAATATTTTATTATTATTATTATTTTTTTTTAGAGACAGGGTCTTACTCTGTCACCCAGGCTGGAGTGCAGTGGTGCGATCATGGCTCACTGTAGCCTTAACATACTGGGCACAAGTGATCCTCCTGCCTCAGCCTCCTGAATAGCTAGGACTATAGGTGTGCACTATTGTTTACCTTTTTATTCACTGGTATGTGGACTCTTTGAGGAAAATGATTCTGTTTGTTTCATCTTATCCATCTCAAAGCTTTTGGTGCCTAGCTTATAGTAGGTATTTAGTGTGTATTTGTGAATGTCATCAGTGATAAGTGTCTGTATAAATAACTGACATTCCCATCAGCAGAAAGAGAATAAACAATGAAATGGTGACGAGCATGAGTGTTATAAGTTGTGGGTAGCAAAAGACCCTCTATGGCTGGATAGTTCTGTTTTCTGACCTAAAAATAGTGAAAATGACTCCTCACTTCTTCACCGGGTTGTGGAAGGTGTTTGCATGGTAAGTGAAAGGACTTGATAAAATATAAGGGCCTATGTAAATCCAAGATTTCATTATTACTTGTAGGGACAGGTTCTTTTTCATAAATCTTTGTAATTATTGCCTTGAATAGAAGTGATATTCAATAAATAGTTACTTAATAAATAAATCAACAAATGAATGGGAGTTTCCTATCCTTGTGACCTTTTTTTTTAATCTGCCTGATAGACAGCCATTCTTATTAGAAAAGTATCTAAAATATGATTAAATCAACTTAGATGAGAAGCTTTGCTGTCTCGGCCTATGAATAAAGTTGATGTGCATAAATCCATGGACATTTTTATATCTCCTTTGCCTTTTCAGCATCATTATTCTTTTTTTTTTTTAATTCTTAGGTAATTAACAGATTCAGATTTTTGAAGTTTCCAGATATATGGCCTCAGGATTGAATTTTTCCTCTGGAGAGAAAACATATCTCAATTGAAATATACCTTACATTGCTCATGCAGTTTTTCCAATGTAAAGCAGATAGAGAAAACATAAAAACATTTTCTGAAATACTGATTCAAAAATACCCTAAGAAAATAATTTGGGGGAAATGAGGGCAAGATTTTTATTAGGGAAGATACTGCATTGTTTTATGCTAACTTTCAACTTTAAAAAATACTAACATTAACAAAGGAAGATACCACCTGAAAATAAAAATTTGCAGAATTGAGTGGGTTATTTTGAAAGTTACAGGAGTGATCTTCCATTCATAAATTATAGCTTTAAAAGAAGTGTTTCTCTGCCTGATGCCTAAGCATTTGACCTAAGGCAAAAAGACCGAGTTTTGTCATCTCCAGCCAAAAGAGAAACACAATACAGATCTTAAAGATGGAACTCCAGCACCCTGTCTCTAAGCTCTGATAAATCTTGTGTAATATTTTTCCCTTTCATTCCCGTGCTATGAGCTTTCCCCAGACCCTTACCATTTGATGCCTGGACTATTGGTGTTTTGCACAAAGGTATCACCTATCTGCATATCTTAATAAACCACTGCTTTCATCATCTTTCTCCCCTCTCCACGGATCTACATTGGTGTCCTCTTGCTGTGACTTGACAACCAAACTGGCCGGGTCAGCCTGATTTCTCCATATGTTCTAACCTATAGGCCTAGTCTTCCTATTGTCCTCCACCCACATTCCAAGGTCTCTCTTATCTCTAGGCCTTTCCCCCTGTGACATTTCCTCCTCTCTCCCTGTGTGAGTCTTGCTTATCAGGTCTGGCTCCTTCTGCCCTTCCATGAAGCCTTCCCTCAGTCTGTTTCTGCATAAACTATCACTGCATTGTCTGAAGTTTTAGAGAACTTTCTAGCTATGCCATGGATTTACCACTTATAAAATTCTAATTTCTCAGTAAACTATCGCAAGAACAAAAAACCAAATACCACATATTCTCACTCATAGGTGGGAATTGAACAATGAGAACACATGAACACAGGAAGGGGAACATCACACTCTGGGGACTGTTGTGGGGTGGGGGGAGGGGGGAGGGATAGCATTAGGAGATATACCTAATGCTAAATGATGAGTTAATGGGTGCAGCACACCAGCATGGCACATGTATACATATGTAACTAACCTGCACATTGTGCACATGTACCCTAAAACTTAAAGTATAATTAAAAAAAATTCTAATTTCTAGTATTTTATGCATGGTTCTTAACTGGAAATGTCTTAAGTGAATTTAAAAATTCTAAAATATAAGGAAAAGCGATGGCTAGATTATAAAAAAAAGTTACACATATTTGAAAATATATGTAATGTGTTACAAAAACAAAATTCTTAGTATATTAAATATATAAATATTTTTCTAGCACAGAAAGTTGAAATGATACCTAATGAACCATTTGTCTCTAAGAACTCTTTCTTTATCTTTGTGTTTTGAAATGCTCATCTGCTATAACCTGGTAGCATGTTTATTGTTAAAGCACAATAAAGATCTGGTCTGGGATCTGTTCTTTTAATGCTCCTGACTTTCATTTTACTTAATTATGATGCTTTTCCTGGTTTGATTATATTGAAGAATGATTTCACTTTGTTTGAACCTGGAAGCTTTTCATGTGATGTTTAATTATGTTCACATTTATATTTATAATATGTAATATATACTTATAAATGGAATATATTACATTTAAAATGCCCCTTTTGTATTATCGGATGCTGTGATTCTGTTTATTACTAGGAAGTCCTGGTCCTAATAAATACAATATTTGAACAGCACAAAGATAGAGTGGTGGCAAGATGCGCCTCCATATGGATGCCCCTTGATCTTTACTATTCAGAAATAGTTCTCAAAGATCAAGCCAAAGCACACTTGGCTCTTGGCACTAAAGAACTTGGACTTTGAGAGTGATCAAGTATTGCATGTGATGTGGCGGCTCTTAAAAGGGACTCTTCAAAATAAAGTGACAGGAATATACACTGCTCTTTTGTTTCAGAGAAAAGACTTTGCCAAGATGAGAAAAATAAAAAATGAGAGTTTTATAAGAGTATTTTCCTCCATTGGGTTTTTGACCAGATACTTATCATTGTGAAAGTGCCATGGAATGTGTCTTATTTCATTCTGTGTCAGCTGGCACTAAGACCCTGAGGAAAATATTTGCTATGCATGCCAATGAACAGAAAGACCAAATTTCGCACCTTCACACATATTCAGCATATTTTCCCTCCTAATGTACCACTCCCCTTTCTTTCACTCCTTCTCTTTCCCTCTCTCTCCCTTTCTTTTTCTCCCTCTCTCTACCCGTTTGCCTTCTTCCCTTCTTTTTCCTTCTCTCCCTCCCCTCTCCCCCTCACTCTCCCAACCCCTTTCCCTCTCTTGCCTTCCTTTTTATCTCTTTCCTTCTCCTTCTTCCCTCCCCTCTCTCCCCCTTGTCTTCCCCGTCTTCCCCTCCCTCCCCTGTCCTTCCCAGGTTCTCCAGGAGCCTCCTCTCCCCTCTCCAGGCTCATTTTTTTTCCACTGCTCTATGTACCCTGCTTTTCCTCTTATGGTCATTTATTTCCTTGTCACCTTCATGGCAATAAGTCTTTAATACATTCCTCCTCCTCCTCCTCCCCCTCCTCTAGCCCCTCCCCTTCCTCCTCCTCCTCCTCCTCCTTCTCTCTCGCTCTCTCTCTCTTCCTCTGAGTCTCTATTCTCATCGCCATTACTTTCTTTGGAAAGGAGAACCCATGCCTCTGCTCTGGTAAAATGCTGGCTGCATAGTAACGGTATATTATGTAAACTTGTCTTGTTTACCCACCCTAGTATTAGTCTGTTTCTTCTAGAGGAGTTCTTATAGTATGGTAATTCAAATAAAGCCATCTAACGGCCACCCATAAAATACAAAGAATCCTTTTTGAAAATGAAAATTGCTTCAGAATAAATATTGGTTATTCCAGTAATTCAAAAGGATAGAATTAAGCTATTTTAGAAAACATTTTAAAATAATTACAAAAATTGTGCTTACCACAACTGAGGCAGAAAATAAGAATTCTGATTTTTTTAAAATCTGTCTTCTGGAGATCTTTATGTAACTTGGAATCTAATAAAATTGAAAAATTATATCTCTTCTATGTGTAATTAAATGTTTCTTTAACGATCTAGGAAAGACTTTCAACTGATGTGCCCTCCGAAGGCTTTGGAGTTAGGCACTGTATTAGTTTTCTAGGGTTGCTATAACGAAGTACCACAAACTGGGTGGTTTTAAACAAAAGAAATTCACTGTCTTTATTTTATTTTATTTTATTATTTTATTTTATTATTTTATTTTATTGAGATGGAATTTTGTTCTTGTTGCCCAGCTGGAGTGCAATGGTGTGATCTCGACTCACTGCAACCTCTTCCTCACGGGTTCAAACAATTTTCCTGCCTCAGCCTCCCGAGTAGCTGGGATTACAGGCATGCGCCACTATGCCTGGCTAATTTTTTTGTATTTTTAGTAGAGACAGGGTTTCTCCACATTGGTCAGGTTGGTCTCAGTCTCCCGACCTCAGGTGATCCACCCGCCTCGGCCTCCCAAAGTGCTGGGATTACAGGCGTGAGCCAACCCGCCTGGCCGAAATTCACTGTCTAATGGTTTTGGAGGTTAGAAGTGCAGAATCAAAGTGTCAGGAGGGCCACGCTCCCTCTGAAGCCTGTGGGGGAATCCTTCCTTTCCTCTTCCTAGTTTCTGGTGGTTTGCTGGAAATCCTTGGCTTGCAGCTGCATAACTCTAATCTCTGCCTTCATCATAACATGGTGCTCTCCCTGTGGGTCTCACTGTCATCACCCAGCCTTCTGCTTATGAGGACATCAGTCATGTTGCACTAGAGGCCATTCTACTCCCTTATGGCATCCGTTTAACTATGTTTGCCACAAACCTGTTTCCCAAATAAGGCCATATTCTGAGGTAGTGGGGGTCAGGACTTCAATGTATCTTTTGAGGGCACACAATTCAACCCATGTCCCATTCTGAGTTCAAGTCTCATTTCCTCCACGAAGTAACTATGTGACCTTTGTCAAATTACTTAGCCTCACTGAGCCTCAACTGTAACGTAGGTAATTCTAGTTCTCACCTCATACTGCTGTGAGGATTAAATGAGATAATGCTTAGTAAAATGCCTGGCACATAGTAAGTACAAGTATAGATTAGCCATTTGTTTAGTCACTATTATTTAGGTTGTTATTTTTATTGCTGCTCTAGTTAGACACCCAAGCTTAGTACCTGGCTTAGTGTAGTTGCACATTAGATATTAAATTTCAGTCACTCAGGGCCATTATAGTTTGTGCACTGTAGATGTTGAAAATGGTCTCAGAGAGTACTCAACTATGGTTGAGATTACTATATTTTATTAAAAGTTTATCAGCTGTATGCCAAGAAATACTGAATCGACCAGGTCTTTTGGGATTGTTTGGAAATTTAGGGGCTCCCTAGAATAACTCAGAGCTGTGAGTCATGGATAATGAGTGGAAGTGATATTTATAGAGCCAGAATCCTGGTCAAATTTCTCCATAACTTGTCACAAAAATGTTTTTTAAGCTCAGTTAATTTACATGTAACAAATGCAAATTCAGGATATTTGATATTATCTGATAATGACAAGCCATTCTTTGATATATGAGAAATGGAGGCAGAGAAAGGTTAAATTATTTCCTATTGTTAAAAAGAAGTTCAAGTGAATTCAAGGCAAATTAAACTCAGTACTCCCACCAATATATTCACACCCCAGAGGACAGAGAACACCAAAAGGATTTGAATGTGTTCTCCAGAGTGGGTGTGTGGTCTGTTTTGACAAATGTGCTTGGCCATGGGAGTTATGTCCTCTCCCTTAGATTAATTGGCATTCTTTTCTGCCTTGTGAATCGTAGGTGCTCCCTCTGTGGCACAACTGTCATTTCTTTGGCTAAACACACACAAGGAGAGCAATAATAGCTGCTGGACCTCCAATTATCCACAGAAACATCTCCATCAGGAGGCAACTCCATAGGGAATTTACCATCTAATTCCAAAAGAGAGTTGGGAAAGAAGTTTGTTTGGTACAGTCACCAAAGCAGTGGTGGCCAAACCTTCAGTGGACACCTGGGGTGGGGAAGAAACAGAATCCAGAATTCCTGAGCCCCATTTCAGGCACTGGAGGAGACAGAAATCCTTTCGCTTTTGCTGCCATGTTTGTCCACATGGGGATTCCTGTTTCAGTGTCCTTTTTGGCCCCTGGGAGCACTAGTACTCCATTACCTGATTGTTAACCATAATTTTTATCCTACTTTAAAAAATGGGACATCTAGGAAGAAATATTTTCTTTGTGTGTAATTTTCAATTCTCCTGTGTCCAGTTGCCTAAACACTCTCCACTTAGAATGATTGCCTTTTTTTTAAAAAAAAAAGCTTCCTTGCATTTTTAAATGACCTGGTCTCTTGGTCAGGATTCTTTGACTACTAAAGACAGAAAACAAACTTGAAATAGTTTTAACACCAGGAGAAATGTATTGGCTCATATGAGCAAACTATGGGAAGGATTGGCAGGTAGCTTAATTGTCCATTGTATCTGATATTTGATATTGCAAAAAGTTTTCTTATCTTCTTCTTTGTGGTTTCTCTTTGATTTCTTTTTCCCTTGTGATGAATTCTCTTCTCCACTCTTCAGATTGCCTGGTTCTGGTTTGCCTGTAGTTTTGTTGCTTGTCCCAGAGGTTTCATCTAAGTCACAGTTGCAGTATCTTCACTTGCTCTACTTGACGACTGTCATGACAGGGGTCCTAATATGTGTATGTTGTCATTACCTGCAGTTTCTTCTCTTATAAAAGGTCTGCATTCCTGTTTTCTGTCTCTGGAAATTATCTCCTCATCAATCCTTTTGAAAGTCTTTGTGGAATGACCCATTTAAAGATAATTCCTGAAACTTTTATTCTATGATGAAGCAAATTTTTCTCTTTTAGTGTAGCCTGGGAGCTACAGCCCCAGACTCCATCTTTCTATTCTAAGGATTATTCACCTAAGGATGAATTAGATCTGAAGAATATTCTACATACTGTCTCAGAGGATCCCCAGCAGGATGGTGTCCCAGCTGCCCAGAGCAGTCCCCTGCTCCGTAAGCACCCTTGATTGGTGTTATTCCTTCCCTATCTGGCCTTTGCATGCCTTCACTATGGATCCTTGAATCATTTCTGCCAAAACTACTTTCACTTTAATCTACTTTCACTTTCCTGTCATTATGTTTCCTTCTAGTACTTTTATGATTTTATTTATACATAGTGTATAATTTTTCCTTTTTGCATGTGAATTCCTTTTCACATTGCTTACATTTTGTATATTTAATAAATAATCATATCCCCAGCAGTTCTATTATATATAATCCATGTCCCACTGGAGAAAAGGCCCCACAGAGATTTATTCTCATGTCCTAACCACTTGCAGACCCAGTAGCTGTTTGAATCAGGAGTGGCAGAGCAAAAAGGTTTAGTAGTGGAGGGGAGGGGAGCCACCTTTGTTCTGACTTTCCAAGAAAGCCCTTGATGAAGCTTATCTAAAGTTCCATCCAGGGATCTATTCATCATAAACTTCCACTTGTCCCACTTGCCCAACTGGATCATGTGTTGCCTTAGCAATAATATATAGAAATTACTCTAAATTGTAAAAAAAAAAAAAAAAAAAAAAAAAAGTGATATTGTCTGTCTTGGCACAGAAGCTCCCAAGAGCAGACCCTGAGACAAGGATTAAAGTGAAAGTAGTTTTGGCAGAAATGATTCAAGGATCCATAGTGAAGACATGCAGAAGCCAGATAGGGAAGGAATAACGCCAGTGAAGGGTGCTTACGGAGCGGGGGACTGCCCTGGGCAGCTGGGACAACATCCTGCTGCGGATCTTCTGAGAGAGTACGTAGAATATTCTTCAGATCTAATTCATCCTTAGGTGAATAATCCTTAGAATAGAAAGCTGGAGGCTGGGGCTATAGCTCCCAGAACTTTCAGTCACCCTGCATGCATGGGCAAAGTATGTTTCTATTATCTGAGAATTCCTCCAAGCAGAGAAGTATTTTTGTTTTCATTCTTTTGGATTTAACTTTATTTTCTGAATGATACATCATTTACATGGGATAAAAGTAAAAACTGTATAAAAGGGTATATGCAAAGAAGTCTCCCTTCTATCTATAACTTCTTCATCCTATATCCACTCTATGCAGGTAATCTTTTTTTTTTTTGGCATGGGGGGAGGTTTGGGTTGTGCAAAATAAACTATACCCACTCTATACAGGTAATCATTGTTTTTGAGAAGGAGTTTGGGTTGTGCAAAATAAACTAGGACATATATATATATATATATTCTTATTCTTTTTTATTACACAAAAAGTAGGATGTTATACACACTCAGCTGTCTCTCTTTTTCAATTGACCATATGTCCATAAATCATTCCATTAGCTGTTTCCAGAACTCTTCCTAGTTCTTTCTTTATAGTTTCATAATATTTCCTTGTGTGGTGTATCCTAGTTTTTTTCTGTCAGTCTCCTATGGATGGGCGTTTATGCTATTTTCATCTATTACTATTACAAAATAATGGTAGAATTAATCATGAACATATGTTGTTGGATAATTTTAGAGGTGAATCTTTAAGGTAAACTGTCAGAAGTGTCATTGCTTAGGTAAATGCCTATAGTTTTTGTCAATATTGACATATTCTGAACTCTAGGGTTATACAATATTGTACTTCCCCATCAATACGTAACAGTGTTTCTGCTTAGCCCTGCCAATGGAGGGTGCTGTCAAACTTGAACATCTTTGCCTATTTAATATGTGTACAGCAGGACCTGGAATAACATCTTTTTATTACAAGGCTGATGAGAAAAAAAAAATTCCCAGCCAGGGCCATTGTCTATGTGATGTTTGCACATTCTTCCCAGGTCTGCTGGTTTTCTGCAGGTACTCTGGTTTCCTCCAGCACCCCAAAGATGTGCACACTAGGTGAATGGGCATGTCGACATAGTCCCAGTCTAAGTGAGTGTGGGTGTGAGAGTGCACCTGTGAAGGAAGGTCTCTTATCCAGATCTGGTCCCTACCTTGAGCACTGAGTTGCCTGGATAAGCTCTGGCCACCTGCATCCCTGAACTAGAATAATTGTGTAAATAATTATCTTACTTGTTTTTATCAATATTTCTTAAATATATGTCTAACTCATATTTGTTTCAATGTTTTTGGAACCAGAAGTATGCCATAGAAATTTAACTCTTGTTTATATCAATTAACCTACAGTAAAATTGGTTTTAGTATATGTTGTTTCACTTAAAGTTGCAGTTTCCAAGAACCTATGGAAGATGTTAAGTGAGGACTTACTGTAGTCATAATTTTAATTTCTCTTATTTTGAGAATTGCATATTTTCTTATGTTTAAGGGCCAAGAAATTTGTATGTATTTTTTTAAAACTTTGTATTTCATCTTTTTTTTTTCTATTGAGATTTTGTGGGTTTTTTTCTTAATTTTTGAAGAGCTTTTATCTATTAAAGTTTTAAAGATTTAGTCTTATGTTTGGGATACATGTTGCAGATGTTTTCTTCATTTTTAGTCTTTTGACTTTTCTTTAGCCATACAGAAGTTTCTGCCTCCCTGCCCCCAACTTTTAATTTTATGGTATGTAATTGATTGGTCTTTCCTTGGATCTGGATTATAAGTCATAGCTGTAAGGGCTTTCCTGTAATTATGTCTCCTGCTAATACTTTTATGATTTTATTTTTTTAAATTTAGATATATAATTCATTTGTAGTTTACTCTGGTATGTAGTGTGAGATATGGATCCACTTTTATGTTTTTCCTAATAGCTTTCCAGTTTCCCCAACCTCAGTTTTCCATCTCTCCTTTTCCTTCAGTGAGTTGAGCTGACACTTTTATCATGTAACAAGTTTCCACAGCACTTGGTCCATTTCGGGATTTTCCCTTTTGTTCTGTTGGTCTATCCGCCTATACCTGTGTCAGTGGCTCACTGTTTTAAATATACAAATTTCATAGTACATTTAAATCTGTATATAGGGCAGTGTTAGCTCATTCACCATTATATGTGAGTTAATAAAACATTTTTTCACCTATCCCTTATTTTTAAACAAATAGCCCCCTTTATTTTAAACAAATAGCCCCCCTCTCATTTTAAGCAAGTAGAATTATCATATTTTTTCTGAACAGTATATAATTGTGGACATTTTTATGACTCCTTGCCAAAAATACTGATTTGCTAAATTGTTTTAAAACATGGGGCAACTGATATAACAGTTGTCACAAAATTTAACAATTTAAAATTTTTTTAACATTTAAATTTCAAAAATTATTAATAGCCTAAAAGCTAACCAGTTTGCATTTCTTTAATTGTTCAAAAGATTACACGTTTTCTTATATGCTTGTTAATTAGTTATCATTTCTTCTTTTGTGACTTGCTTTTCATGTTGCCTTGACATTTTAGTGTTTTCTTATTAATTTATATGAACATGCGTATAAAAATACTATTCCTTCATCAATCATGCTTAGTGCAATGCTTACCCGGTTTAATAAATTTTTAATGTTATTTGTGGGTTTTTTTGACAGGCTAATATTTTGACTTTTAGGTTGAAAAACTCTGACTCTGCTTTTATTATTTCAGTAGTCATTTCTAAAATTATTCCACATTTAGAGGGTCAATATATAATTTTATGTGAATACGTAATATTTCTTTAAAACGTAAGAAGAATTCTAACTTGCCTAGTGATCTAATGTAGGTTTGCAGCAGTAAATTAGAAGGCAGAAGGGGTGTCACAGGCAAGCACACTGACAACTTTAAGAAGTGACATCTAGTGAAAGGACAAGAGACTTTCTAAAAATATCACACAGAAATCCTCAAAATTATAGCAATCTAAGGCCATTGAAGTTAGGACAAACAAACCTCAAAGTGCCCAAAACTAATATCCATAAAGCAATTGCAGAGTTATTATGAAAATATTAAATGACATTCAGTATATCATGAGGAAGAAGCAAAATAATATGTAAGGTGTTTTTGGAGGCATTTCCAGCTCAGATAATTAAATATGAAAAAGAATTGGTGCTTAGAGGCAGAAAATCTTTAGCTAACTAGGAAAATTGACTATGAAGAATGATTTGTTCCCAAGGGTTTTCTAGTTAGATGACATTTTATAAAAATTATTTGTTATTTCTTTTTTTAAAAAAATTTATTTATTTATATTTTCATAAGTTATTTGGGGTACAGGTAGCATTTGGTTACATGAGTAAGTTCTTTAGTGGTGATTTGTGAGATTTTGGTGCACCCATCACCAGAGCAGTATACACTGCACCATATTTGTAGTCTTTTATGCCCCACCCGCCTCCCATTCTTCCCCCCAAGTTTCCAAAGTTTATTGTATTATTCTTTTGCCTTTGCGTCCTCATAGCTTAGCTCCCACATATCAGTGAGAACATACGATGTTTGGTTTTCCATTCCTGAGTTACTTCACCTAGAATAATAGTCACCAATCTCATCCAGGTCACTGCAAATGCTGTTAATTCATTATTTTTCATGGCTGTGTAGTATTGCATCATCTATATTTACCACAGTTTCTTTATCCACTCATTGATTGATGGGCATTTGGGTTGGTTCCACAATTTTGCTATTGTGAATTGTTCTGCTATAAACATGTGTGTGCAAGTAAGTTTTTCGAATAATGACTTCTTTTCCTCTGGGTAGATACCTAGTGGTGGGATTGCTGGATCAAATGGTAGTTCTACTTTTAGTTCATTAAGGAATTTCCACACTATTTTCCATAGCGGCAGTACTAGTTTACATTCCCACCAGCAGTGTAGACGTGTTCCCTGTTCACCACATCCACCCCAACATACAAATGGCTAACAAACATATGAAAAAAACGCTCAACATCACTAATGATCAGGAAATGCAAATCAAAACCACAATGTGATACCACCTTACTCCTGCAAGAATAGCCATAATCAAACAATCAAAAAACAGTTGATGTTATTTATTTTCTGTGGCTTCCTTGATTACAATGACCTTGGGAATAATGATCATGTTTTTTTCCTCAATTCCCCTTTGGTGCCACACATTAGTAGGTGCTGAATGTCATCCAGGTGCCATTGTTCTATATATTTACTTTTTAACACATTTATTATACCACTATCTAAGGGAAGAAACTAAGGCTCAGAGAGGTTAAACTCCTTCCCAACATTGATTTTGGACCCAGGACTACCTGGCTCTCTCCACATAGCTAATGTCCTTCTCCTGAGTCCTGAGTCTAGTGTCATGCCTAGACTTAGTTCATTGTTTACCAAGTAAGTCAGCAATTAAATAACTTATTATTAACTATCATTAATGAGAGCTTGGAAGTGGGTGAGATCATTTATAATTTTATTGGAGAGACAGGCTTTATACACATAAAATTAGATCTCAACAAAATTATAAAGTCCACTATGTTAATTGATTTTCTCAGATCAACTGACTTAGCCTGGAAGCCCTTACAAAGCAGCAATTCGATTTTTCTAGAATCTGAAAATATTCGTTTCTGAAGAGAATGAAACTCGTGTCAGCTTGCTGTAGGATTAAGGCACCATTCCATGTGTTAAATGGTCTTTTACTTCTCCCTCTACTGAAATCTTCAATGGCTACCTCTTATCTTGTTCATTATAAAAGACAAAAACCAAAGAAAACTCTTTGTCTTCAAGGCTGTCCCGACTGTGGTGTGGATGTCTCCTGTTTCCTTACATCATTTTCCATACAAAAATATTTCTGTTCAGATGAGGTTTTTGAAGTCACTTTTGTACTTGTTCTATCCCTTATTCCTCTCACCTTTCGTGTTTACTTTAGTGATGATTTAAAAACATACTTACCTAGCAAAATGAAGCAATTTGTACACCTTTTAAAAAAATAATTAATGAATTGTTGTTTCAAAAACATCCTTGGCTTCCTTTCTCATCATAAACCAGCTATACAAGACAAATAGTGTGTATAAAAGAGGTTTTAATTTCCATATATGGTGTGGGAAAGCATATAAAATTTATACTGTTTTATGATGCAAAAGTGTAAAGGTTGTCAGGGGGTTTTCAAATGGCCCATAAATCCAAGTGCCCAGGTGTGGAGGAGAGCTGCAGGTAAGTCATGAGAGACACTGATGGGCATCACAGATTACAATTCCATTTTTTCATGGAACACAGAAAATGCCAAAACTGAGGTATATTGTCTAACTCTTCCGACTTCATCTAATGTAGGAGCTTTCTTATAGAAGATAATGGGCATAGGATATGTTCCTTCTAAGATTGCCAGTCCTGTTGTGTGGCCCTCAGTAATGCCTAATGTAGTGCCAATAACTCAGTGCATATTCAATCAGTAATAAATATTTACAAATGTGGGCAATGATGGGGGGAAGGAAATTTCCTAACTATCTCTCTGCATTCTACCTTCCTACTTATGCTACAATAAGCCCTTGTATTTTCTTGAACCTGTAATTTATTGAACCATGTGTCAGCTGCCATCTCTGCAGGACCTGGTTGTACCACTGCTGATTCAAAGGATATGCACTTGAACATGTACAGTGCATGATGCAGAGAATCTTGAGGATGCAGACATGAATTAGCATTGATTGGACTTTGATGGATGAATATGTGAAAAAGAGGATTTTCTACTGCAAAGAATGATTTGACCAATGAAGATAGAGAGGCACAGTGTGGTGTACTTAAGAAACACTGAGGTAGATGAGAATCACTCAAATGGAGAGTACATTGGAGGAATAAGAAAGAGATCAGAGGGGGATGTGAGAGCAGAGAAGTTGACTGAAAAAGTCTATGCCAAATTTATAGTTTAGAAGTTATTTTGTATGCATCAGGGATTCAACTAAACTTTTCGGGCAGGGCAGTGACACGGATCAGAGCTTTTTTTCAGCAGAGTAGCTCATGTAAGTCATAGGATGAATTGGAGGCACAAGCCTCATTCAATGATGCCCAGTTAAATGGTCTTTTTCCCAAACCCTTTACTAATGGCCCCAATACACTGACTCTTGAAATAGCATGTTGTTTCACTGATAAGCAGCAATGCTATTATTCCATTTTCTGGGCGGATGCACTGCTCATCCATCCCCCATCCCAACACTAACCTTGGAAGGCTTCTAGTGTTGTTGAAAGGAGGCACTGAAAGTTACATAGTGTCTAAGAGTGGAAATCAGGAGAATAGAAGGCAAGGTGCTGCCAGATGATCTTAAGAGCCACTTGAAAAAGTAATATATATATTACATCATACCTTCTATCCCCCTCCCTTTTTATCACCTCCATCCGGACATTGCCACACTCATCCACTTCCACTCTAGTTCACATCTTTCTGTTCTCATTCCCAAGGCAGCCCAGGCAGCCCTCCAACTGGAAACCTTGCAACAACACCTCACCATTGTCATCACAGCTAATCCCCAGCCTGCGTGCTGTGACATTTCCCACCTTTGAGTCACTTCTCTCCTTTTAGCATCTCTACATACTGCTGATCCTAGTGTATTGTCTATTTAGTAAATTACAGCCTACTTTGATGTTAATTTTAACTAGTTTCTGTCAGTTTAAAATTCTGTTACAAGCATAGTACATATTCTTTCCAAATCTCACAGTCTCATAGGAAACGTCACAGGAGCTACCTTGCTAGAGATATTTCTACCCATTGAAGAGGCCAATGTAGTTATTTATTATTGACGATCAAGAGCAGTAACCAAAGTTAATGATAAGCTGGTATGTTAGAAAGAATTTCAGTGGAAAAGCTAAAGATCAAATTATTAAGATCTCATTCTTTAAATTATTAAAATGTTTGATGCCTGTTTTGTAGAAATTCTGAGAAGTTTTAAAAAACAGGAAATAGTATATATCTCAATGTAAAATAGTTTTGATTTTCAGTTGTTTCCATTTGGATTCTAGAAAAATGAGGCTTTCAGTAAATATCCAATTAAAAATTCATTAAAACAAATAGAAAAATGCAAGTCCATCTGTTTTACTGGTACTTCAGTGTAGATAAGCCTGGAAAATAAAATAAAGATGCTTCATTGAACTTTGGTTTATTCAAGACCATTGTGAAGATAAATATACTTTAAATGAACACATTAATAAAATAAACAAATTCCACAAATTTAGTCCAGCCCAACCACATATCCCAGAGTTTTTTGTTTTGTTTTGTTTTTGACTTTTAACTTAGGTGATACTCAGTTGGTGAACATACATAATTGCTACAAATAATTATTTTCATAACATACTCTCCACACATTGTACAATGACTGGTGTTGGTAGTAGTTGCAGTAGGAGTAGCAGAAGTGAAAGCAGTGGTGATGATAGATATAAGCAAGGTGTTGTTATTGCTAATTTTACTTTCCAACCATCACCATTTGTGAGCATTCTTATTTGGTCAGATACTTTGCTGGGTACTTATAAAGAATTATCCATAAATATCCCAACTATCTAACTAGGTTGATAGTCCTATCCCAACTTTTCCAAAGTAGAGAGTGATGCTCAAAGAGCTTAAATAATTTACATCATGTTTTATATTTCATAACTGACAGAGCCAAGATTTGAACTCAGATATCTGGCTGTAAAACTCCTGCCTGTTTTGCTATCATGTACTGCAATGTTATCCTGTGTCAGTTTATCCGCATGATGTAAAGTAAGTGAACTATACGATAACATGATTTGCCCCCACTTCAAGGCCCACTTAGAGGTATGTAGAACTATAGTCCCTCACTTTGACTTTTCTTTTGCCTTTTCCTCTGCTTATTCAAACAATTCCTTTTTGTCTGATGTGTGTATGTAAATAGCTTGCTTATCACATGACCACATGCCAGACCAGCTGGTCATTCGACTCTTTGGTGGCTAACACGCTCCCAGGTGGCTCTGCCAGTCTTGGACGTGGTAGAGTGGTATCCCACAAATTCAGATAATGTTAGCTATTTTCTCCTGGGAACAAAAAACCCATGCAGAAATGGAGACCACATTCTTTTGTCAGATAATAAAGAAGGCTTCTACTATTTAAGGATGCTTACTACATGTCTAGCACTTTCCCTTGTGTCACCTAATTTTACCATAACACTAAAATGAAAAGAATAAATTGTCACTTAAATTTTCTTTTGATGAGAACTGAAGTACTTCAGTACTGTACATGACTCCTAGATTTCCTATTTTAAAGAGTAACTTGCAGTTATAGCTTGCAAACATCTATGACTCAGAGCACCTCCTCATTGCCGTCTATTGGTAAGTCTCAAAGAAGGTAGATCAATTTTAGATATGATTTGATCAAAGTATAATCAGGATAATGGCTCTGGAGAAGTGAAACATAAGCACTCCTTAAACAAATATAAATGTTTATTATTTGTGCAGTTGTCAGACAATTTAGCATAAATGAGACTTTTCCTAATAACTCTCAACTTTAGTTATTCCTTTCCTTTCTTTAACTTCATAATGCAAATATGGCCCAAGACTACTTAGTGGAGTCACAAATTGCTCTGTAGCCATTGCATGTTTACAGGAACATGTTAAATTTCTAAGTGTACATATCACCTATAATATGTAAATATAGTTAGCAACAGGGTCACTTAGCTTACAAATAAATGCCTTATAGGCGAGTTGGAAGGAAGAAAGATTATTTTTCTACCTTGTGGAGGAAGGTTCCTTGGTTAAAAAAAAAAAGGCAAAATATTAAAAGAATGGATTCTATTGATTTCTTTACAACGGAGTTAAAATTTTGTAGGAAACAGGCAAAAAACAAATTTCTTGCTGACTCTAAAATCTTGACGTGATTATACTGTGATGGGATTAAGCCTTATATGGGTTGGTCATTTTCATATAGAGGTGGTGGTGGGCAGCCCAATTCTGTATCCATGGTGTACATTTGCATATCTAGGTAGTGTTTGGGAGACTGAATAATTTTTCAGTTATCACTCACAGGCTCATATGCAGGTAGCCATATTCTCTACACGTAACAGAGTTTGCAATGTGTGATTCACCTATGTCAGTATTACCTGGAGAATTCCGCTACAGAATTCTGATACCCCTCCTCCAACCCCACCATTCTGTACCACTGAATCAGAACCTTGGGCTAATTTTTTACCAAATTCCTTAAGTGTCCTTAAGCATCCAATATTTAATAACCATATTCTTAGTATAACTACTTTTTAAAATATTCCTTCTACTATTGGTCTACAACTTGTATGCACCAAGTACACATTATGTAAAATTTCTACCATTTAATGGTTAGGAATTTACTGAAATAAAGTTTATATCACAGAACTATAGAGATAATAATAATAATAGCTATCACATATTAAACATGTGAACATATGATGACCCATGGCCATTCAAGATCTCTGATTCTCACAGCCCTGCATGATTGATGAGGTTATTCCTATTTTACATTTGGGGAGACAGGTTGGAGAGGATAAGTAACTTGCATAAGGCCACACAGCAAGAGATGGAGTTAGGATTTAAATCCAAATATGGCTTAGTCCAAAGCCTATACTGGAATCTGGCAGTGACCCTTAGTTAACTTGCAGCCCATGCTGGAAGCAGGAGCAGAGGATGGGATCAATTTCATCTCCCCTCTGTGTACATCAGGTGCCTCTGTGCAGTGAGCAACCTGAATTACTGTAACTGGTGGCCTAGGTGATGCTTTCAGTGTGCAAATTCTCAGGCTGTATAATATAGACCTAATATCTTACAAACATATAAAGCATGTTAGGCAGCAGACTAAAACCCAACAAATGGGAGAGGGATGAAGGGAGGGGAAAGCTAGGAGATGGCTTATGGATTGCCCCAATACTATTGATTTATTTTGACTGCCTTTGGGTTCTTGTGAGATGGCTTTACACTCTTATTTTGTGATGGAAGATCCTTATATGATCTCTTAACCTTTTAGCTAGAGTCCAACATAGTTTAGTTGGGTTTCATCTGCATCTATATTGTATCCACCATCTTATTAATATCCAAACTGTATCTTTGATACCAAATTGCAGTATTATTTATATGATATTCAAAAATTAATTGGACTTTTCTGTTTAGATGTGTTTTTGCTAATAGTTTCATATGCCATGTGCTTATGTATTATCGGCTTTTTTTTTTTTTTTTTACCGTAGCTCACATTTGTGGCTCCTTTTATGCATTTATATCCTTTTCACACCTTTTCTAGCTCAACTTTTACAAATTTTTACTTTATTTGATTCAAGATTCCTTTTTGCATTCTTTAAGCTCTCCACTAGGACTCATCACAGAAAACTAGGAGAGTTTAAACCATCATATTAAAAAAAATGTTAGTTTACGCAGTTCTGATGAGTTTTATAAAAAAAAAAAGTAAGCATGGAAAGTCACTAATTTTTCAGACAAAAACCATGGCTAAATCTTCAGATCATCATGCTATTTGAGGCAAGAACATTTTATAAATTAGCCATGCAATTATTGAGCACTCACTGTGTGTCATCTACTGTACTAGATCTCTTGCATATTTGTAGCTCATTAAATTTAATCACCACAGTCAGTCTTTTGGAGACTGCATTCCAGAAGAAGAGATGATATGGCATGGCTGTCTCATTACATACCTGTCACAAATCCTAGAAAAGAGCATCCCAGTAAATATTTTATTTCTAGTGCATCAGCTATGGATGTTGCCTACAAAATGAGCCACAACCTAGAGTTCTTGAAGTGTTGTCATGAATGTTCTCCTTGTTGCTATTTTCTTAGAAGGTCGCCTTTTACTTTGTTCTCACCCTTTATGTCAGAAACATAGAATTAGATACCTTTAGAGGCTTTTTACACCCCCAAGGGCCTGTTCTCAGAGCTGTATATTTTTTAATTCTTTTGTTCCATTTCCCTCCTTTGAAACTGAGATAATGGACCTAATAAATTCAGAGTTTGTCCAGATACCTGTATTGATAAACACTAACTTGACTGGACAGAGCATGAAATATGTTTTGAAGACTTATTTTTGGCCGGGTATGGTGGCTCACACCTGTAATCCTAGGACTTTAGGAGGCCAAGATGGGTGGATGGCCTGAGCGAAGTGTTTAAGACTAGCCTGGACAACGTGGCAAAACTCCGTCTCTATAAAAATTAGCTGGGCGTGGTAGTGTACACCTGTAGTCCTGGCTACTCAGGAGGCTGTGTAGGAGGATGGCTTGACCCCAGGAGGTTGAGACTGCAGTGAGCTGTGTTTGTGTCTCTGTACTCGAGCCTGGGCGACAGAGCAAGACCCTGTCAAAAAAAAAAAAAAAGAAACAACTTTTTTTTTACACTTCAATAGAGCTTTCTTAAAATCAGATTATGAGATAAAAAGTAGTTGCCTGCAGAAAACTTAGTGATTTGGGGTGTTATATACTAATGGTATGGGGCCTATCTCAAAGCCACTATTGAAGACTATGGGACTTCTGCCTCTATTAAGGGAGAAGGACAGTTCATGGGATCGTTTTCCCTACTTATATAATGATAAATAGTTGTTACTATTTATCAAACTAACTTTTATCCCATCTCTTTCTTGGATGTAGGATTCTACTGGAGATTGCTTTAGTTAGCCACTGAAATTCTGAAAGCAAATACAACTTCAATTATTGAATACCTGAGTGTCAATAATGAATTTATGAATCTCTTGTAGAGAATACAAACATAAGGAAAAAATTCTAACATCTCTGAAAAGAAATAGCGTTCAGCTTTTTAATAATAGATGCATACGTATAATGTAGTCCTATTGTGTTGTATTAATATTTTACTTTTAGGAATATTACACATAATCTGTACATTTGTTATGTAACTTATTTCTTATAAGCTCAAGCAAAACCCTTTTTTGGATCTTAAAGTCTACTCACTGCTTTGTTTATTGTGCATCAGCAATATCCTGCACGCTTGATTCTCTCAGGACATGTGAAATAGATCAGTGTAATGTGTATAGGCACTTTAAGCTCCAGAGAAAAGTGTGATGGAAATACCAAGTTACATTATTCTAGGCAAAGTTGAAGAAGGAATAGTTCAAGGGACAATGCTGTCTTTTCTGAGGCTGTATCTCATTAATAATGCATTATAATTTAGAATAAAAAGTAATGTTGCATTTCTTACATTCAGTATAACTCTAGCTTGTTTTCACGACCTCTTCATAAGCTTAATGCATGAGTTTTATTTGATTATCAAACTGTTTTGGATGTCAGTTATGTCAAACACATAGGTAGATTAGGGTATATGATGATAAATGGCATATTTTCTATTTCAGAAGATAGGCATGCATATTAATAATTGAAAGGCAAAACTGAAAGTTTTGAGCCACATGATTTTTATAAAAAAATTACAGAAATTTAGATACAATAAGATCACTTTCAACCTAGGGAAGCTATTCTTCTTAACGTCTCTGTATTACCAGTCTCATTCACTTAGCAACCTTATCTTGCATATGGAAAATTTTACCTGAGTGTGTTGAACTGTTTCACTCATCTCTTCTTTTATACCTTAGTTCTCTTCCTCTATGTGTTCAAGGGAGGACAACTTAATGTTTTGTTTTTATTTTTGTTTTTTGTATACTCATTCTCATCCTGTTTCCCAAGCATCATTTTGAATATAGAAATACTGCCTCTCAAACCTGGCAAGTATTGCTTTCCTTCTGTATTTTAAATGACTCTTGAAATTTCACCTCATGTGCAGAATCCTCTCATTTGATCCAAGAAGTAGGTATGGATTTTTCTGCTACTCAGCATTGATAACAAACAATTAATTTCTTCCTCTGATTTCCTGAGACATATATTCAACGTTTGATTAGTACCTTTTATGTGTCAGGAACATAAGTGAATCTGGAATGAATTTCTCAAACACTGACAAAGGAGACAGGCATATAAACAATAGATTACAAAATGACAGGGTGAGTGCTACAATAGCAGTGTTATGTTTGTGCTGCATTGTAAAGACAATGAATAGAACACCTAACCCTGCGAGAGCTGAAGAATAGGACTGAAATAGAAAGGGAAGAGAATCACTGAAAGAAAGGACCAGTCCATACAAAGAAGAATGGAAAAAGACAGAGATTGGGTCAGATTGTAGCAGACACTGTATTCCACACCACATCAGTTGGGTTTATACATGATAATAATACATTGTGCTTAATGTAGGGCTGCATAGAAGGCAAGAAAAAAATATTAGCTATGATTGCTAAAAATATTATTGCTTATTTTTAATTGTAATAGCCCAATAAGAAATCAGGAGCCACTGGAGTTTTTTAAGGAGAAAAATTATGAGTAGGTATGTACACACAAAAAATTTCTGGTGTTAGTGTACAATATGGATTGGAGGGAGAAAGATGGGGATGGAAGATCAGATGGCAATTGTAACAACAATATAGGCAAGATGTAATTCGGTTTTGATGGCAGTTGCGAGAATTAACCTTTCTGTATCTCAGTTTCCTCATCTGTAAAATATGGGGATTAGAATTGCATCTAATTTATTGGGTTGACATGAGGATTAAGTGAGTTAATATTTTTCAAAGCTCTTAACAAACTATGTGTTTGTTAAGTAAAGTTCAAACAGATTAATATTGCGTGTCTGTCTTTTGCATATACATGAATCCTAGATTATTATAATTGGACATGTACTATCTCCACGTCATGTCCTCTGCATAGGCAGTAACAAAGAACTACTTGTTTCTGTTGATTATAATTATGATAATATTTCATTGATGCTTGTCTATTCAATACTATCAAAGATAGAGGTCAGTGTTGGTGTCTCAGACAAATACATAATATCATCTTGACTACTCTTGAGCTGATCATATTTCATTGATGCTTGTCTATTCAATACTATCAAAGATAGAGGTCAGTATTGGGATCTGAGACAAATACGTAATATCATCTTGACTACTCCTGAGCTGATCATGTTCAGTGGTAGCAAAATTCTTCTCATGTATATCCAGTAGTAGTCACTGTGGTACATCAGAGTACAAATATTTTGAAGGTATGTGCACATATAGTAAAAACTAATTTTTTTGTTGTCATCAAGGATTCTATTGAACTTGAATTTCTTCCCAGAAAGAGTCTATGACTATTCTAGGCTCACCAGTCATAAATCAAATTATAGCTTTTGACAAGTACATTGTGATAATGTTGTGGCATGCTACTCCTAAGTCTGATTAAATAAAGCACCTGTTCTTTATAAATCAATTTTGCTAAATTTTGGACTATGAAAATACTGGCTTAGCTTGGTCTGACATTCTGATTTTCAGTGTAAGATTATTGCTGATTAAGAATAAAATATTGCTGAAACCTGTCGGAGAACCTACTGAAGTTCAACTGGCCAGAAATTCTTTGCATCAGCCTTCCTTTGGCTTTTCAACACCATTTAGACATTCTGAATTAAGGTTTCTCAATCTCAGCATTGCTGATATTTTTGGCAGATAATTCTTTGTTGTTGGAACCAAACTGTTGGGTATTGTAGGATGTCAAGCATCATCCTTAGCCTCTATTCACTAGATGCCAGTAGAAACTCCCTTCCCAATGTGACAACCAAAAGTATCTCCAGATATTGCCAAATGTCCTCTGTGGAGTGGGAGATGTGACAAAATCACTCCTAATTGAACCATTATTCTAAATGATGATTAGCAGACAATAAAAATATGTCATTCTCCTGAGTTGTGTATCCCATTTGAATGGTCAGCAAAACCTGATGTGACATCTGGTTGACTATGAGGGTTATTCCTTTATTTCTGTATTCAACCATGCAAATATTGTACTATTTTAAAAAAAACTCTTTTCATTTTATTTCTTTTGAGAGTTGGTTAAGTCCATTCCTTTTATATTCATAATGTCAGATACTAGAGTGATATTCAATTAATATTTGTCAGATTTATGAATATATGGAGAAAATGGAGCTCACTCTCAGGTACATATATCTATGGTGAAAGTATTACTTTTCAGTTCTATTACAAAACAGATGTACTCTTAATTAAAAAAAATTGAAGTCCCATATACTCCTCCAAATCTAGTCAACAAGTAAATATTTTCAAGCTACTTTTAATTTTTGTTTTAAAAGTAGGAGACTAGTGGGTATAAAATAGTAAAAGAGCATTAGATATGAAACCTATGAGTTCACAAATATATACTTCACTTTCCAAATGAATGAGAATTACGATAAACTGTTAATTCATCCACACAGAGTGGCACTACCTTATCATCAGAACTTCCCGTATCTGGATATTTGGTCTTGACTGTTTCACTGCGATATTCAGCTATTGCAAGAATATTTTCTTCACCTCTTCCACTGGTTCAAAGGGGTTCTTACTTTGGAGGTCTTCTAGAACACCATGCCTCAGTGCTCTCTACTGTATGTTTTTAATACCCTCATTTTTCAGGACAAAGGTATTTGGAAAGCATTTGTCGACTGTTTTTCCAATAAACACTCACATAATAATTCACTGGGAAATATTATATTTATATGTTTAATGCTTGCCTTGCTAATTGTTCCATATGTAATATTTCAGTGCCCAAGTGGATTATAAACTTTATAACCAGAAATTATGCCTCACAGTTTTCAATATTCCTTAGTGCAAGAGCAGAGCCAGGAATCACTCAGAATATCTAGTTTTTTCTGTCTGAATAGTATTATTTTATGCATTTAATTATGCAAAGATCCCTAGGAAATTCATTCTCAAAATAAAGACAGAGAGTAGGCACTTAACATATTTTGTTGAAAGAAATAATTAATGAGTAAATAAATGTTAAGCTTTAGGTTTTGCATTTGCATAATGTGCAGGGACTGTTTTCCATAATCAAGGGACTATGAGGTTTGAAGAATTGCCCTTATGCAGTTTGATATTATTCAGTAATTTTCTCGAAACACAGATGACATAAGCCAGATGGCTGATTTTCTATTTTTGTGTGTGTGCATGAAATCGTTTTTTCCTTTCTTATGGTATATGTGTTAAGTGTATCTATGGGACTTTGTGTGTCAGTTCTTTGAGTGGGGCCAACTAGTCCAGCAGTTGGCCTGATCTACAGGGTCATGAATATACGACCAAGAGAGAAAATAAAAATGAAGATTCAACAACAGAAATGTACATCAACTTATGGGAGAGGACATTATTGTTGCCAAGATACGTTGATGGTCTATTTTGTTCACTGCTCTGTCCCCAACACTTAGAACAGTGTCTGGAGTATAGGAAATCCTCCATGAATAGTTATTTAATGAAGGAATAAGTGAGCAATATAGAAAAATGTTGAGTTCTCTAATCACAGGACTTTGACTGACATATTGAGTGTGTGGAAGAGATGAGGAGTGTATTCCTACTCACAAATGACTTTCTAGGGACACCTTATTTTCAGTTTCTCCAAACCATTCTGACTTAAGGCTGATCATTGTGGGAAAACAAAAGAATTTCAATACCTACTGTTTTATTACTGGCCTTGCAACTTAATTTTGTTTTATTAAATCCTTAATACTGGTATTTCAGTGATCTGTGCTTTAAATGTAAAATAACTATGCAGAGTATATCACTTTGTATTTTCATATAATTCCCATATTTATGGTTTATTTTTGCTCTCATGGCAATCCTATTAAATGATTTTCACTTCCTCCTTTTAATAAATGAAGAAACAAAAGCTAAGTGAGCAAGTGTACAAGATCACTTATATAAGCTAAGAAAGACCAGTCCTGGGACTTCACCTCCAGGCTTCATATTTCAAAGTCCATCGTCTCTCCACAGCATATTATATCAATGATCAATTCCCATGGGTCTGTGTTTTATTTTTACCTATTTATTACCAACTAACACCTAGTAGAGTCCTCAGACTTACAGCACTCCTCAGGGTAAACTGTCTATAGAGTGTATTTGAAGGTCAGATAAAACTTATGAATAATAGATAGTGATACAAACAAATATAAAGCAAAGCACAAATGTTTATCAAGTTTTAGCAGCAACTCAGTCATGTGCAGTGACTATGAAGATAATGGATGCTGCTGTTTTCAGGAACCAGTTTTAAAGTCATAATGTGACATAAACTGTGATCTAAAAATTCAGAAGTGTGCAGTAGGACATTTCATTTGTTCCTGTTTTGTCTCTTTGTGATTGATAGTGTTTTACTTAGACTTCTGGTGGGAAAATAGAATTACTCTAGATGGCTTAAATGTAGTGACTTCAAGGAATGAATTCCTTATCAGGACAGAGAAAAGCAGAGAATGATCCTATAGGAGTGAGGGCTGTGGATGGCCAATGGAGAATAATTAACACAAATACTCATAGTGAGAATTGTATAATTAATTTCTGAACATTATTTTTAATCTCTACAATTATGTCTCTTTCTATATAATGCTCTTCAGATAAAGAGTACATGGTACAATTGGAGATTAAAATTGGTATTGTACAGCCATCATTCTTTTTCAACAATTTGACCATACAGAATTTAATCTCCCCATTTAAGATTATATAATATTTGATACCAACTATTATGTTTTGTGATCTTTGAAAGAGGAAACCACAAATGTTATGATCATACCGTGAACATTCGAGCAGTTATCATCTGACAATAGTTGTTTTTACCAGTTTATTATTTACCATGCACATTCTGCCATTTCATGATCTTGCTGCATGAAAACAAACTCTGTTCTATGACCATTCTAATCCTGTCACTGCTAGGAAGTCACAGCAAATCCTTAATGTATAAACTGCTTTTATACTGTCCACTGCTTTTTGTCAGTGATGGAAAGCTTCTGAGTTCCTTAGTTCATTCTATTCACTGATCAATGCAGCTCTCAATAGGCAAAAGCCAATTCTGTCAACAAACTGTGCTGACTTGGGAGAAGAAACCTGTCTGCTAAGACCATGGGGTGACACCTGGAACAAAGTCATCTTCAAGGACATCTTCAAGGCTGTTAGTTTTACTTTCAACGTATGAGAGGTCATAAAAGCCTAAATAGATTGTTGTAGGGGACATTCTGAGATAAAATATATAGTGGGAATATTTGGTGGAGAGTTTAAAAAGACAAGTGGCTACTCATTATGTAAGTCTGCAGGCTTATGGTGATAAACCTCAAGGGAAATGTTTCCTATCAATTGAAAAACCTCTGTATAAACTTTGGGACATCATCTTGAAGGAGGGGACAGTTTATCTTTCTGTAATTGTTGTTAATTTTGTCCATAAAGAAATCTCCTAGTTTTCAAGCTAGATAAGTATACTTTGGTGAAATGCATCCAATATTTTTTAGACATTTGCCTTTTTATTATTTTTACTTTTGATCTTAAACTTACATTATTCTGTCAGTCAAATTATATTGTCTTTATAGTCTATTTTACTTGACATGCATTCAGCAATCAAAGTATGGATGAAAATATTGTCTAATATGAATTCTCTCATATTCCATGCCTTTGGGAATGTAGTTTAAAGTGTTTCATTAGCTTTAGAGGCTGAAGCATTCTGCGTGCTTTATAGCATACAGTAAGGGGTATTCTCCCTCACAGCTTGCAATGTAACTTTGGATTATAGGGTACTCTTTATATAATCTGAAATATATCTTTCAGTCTCTGTGTCAGTTGCCACAGAAAAAAATAAAGATGCTATCACTAACATAATTTTGTTATTACAAATATGATTATTATATAATTACATATTTTTGTAATTATCAAATTTGTATACATTCAAATGTAATAAGATCCCACTAAACATACTAAAATATATTATGGTAATCATTAATTTAAAACTCCTAGAAAGATTCTAACAAAATAACTAGCCTATGTTAAGTCACTCTCTTCGAAAAGATGACTTATAGGAACATTTTAAGTTTATCAAAGACACTTTTTCCCAGGATAACATTGATCTTAGCTGAATCTGCACATGAAAAGCTCAGCAGTTAGGGAATAAGAAATCCACAAGTCCTGGATGAAGAAATGAGTAGCATAATGATCTGATGTACATGGGCCCAGTCTAGGGAAGCTGGTGAAGCAGCTAACACTAGAAGGGAGGCTATCACAGAGGAGATGGCTAAGTTTACATCTCTATCTGTATCTATTCCTCTATTATCAGCTATAAAAATGAGAAGTATTACCAGTAAGGAAAGGCAAGTTTTGGGTAACTTGAAAAAGATCTCAAAGAAATAAAGAAAAATAAGGATTATTGAGTGCCCTCTGTTCCTTTGACACTTGATCCTCCCGTTTCCTGCAAGTCACATGACAATGAGCAAGTTTGGTTTTACTAACTGAAAGATTGTAACTAACTTCTGTAAGACTGCAGGAAGAAGCTAGAAAGTGGCTGGGCTGGCATTCTCACCAGGTCTCCCCTTTCGCCGCCTGCTCCAGCAGAAGGAATGTGGTGGCAATAACCAATGGAGCCTGTGAGTGACATGTTTGCCTGGCCACAGTGAGGCTGTTGGCTTGTTGGTTGGGGGAGAAGGCAGTTGGAGAAGATGAAGTGGGGTGGAAATAAATGTGGGTTAAAAGAAGGAAAAATTGATAAAGGTCTTAGAACTCAGCAGCAGCTGAGTGAAATATGAAATAGAGGGTAGCAAGCTAGTCCCCACATTGCCATATTGTTCTAATTCTTACCTGTGCATAATATTATTTGTTCAAAGCCTCTAGTTGCCTATTTCAGACAGACGCTTCGTCACCAGGATCATTCCTTATGACTTCTCTAACCTAATGGAAGTGGAAGTCACTAGCAGTGGCCTCAAGGCAGTCGGTGAAAGTGACTGAATAGGTGAACATGCTTGCTCTATCTCCAACTCAAAAGACACCTGGCTAAGGTCCGTTGGGCTTCTGTTGACCATATTTACAGTAAAAAAAAAAAAAAAAAGAAAGAAAACAGAAACAAAAACAAAAACAAAACTTTCCTAAAGCTGTGTATTTAATTAAGTGGGTTTGAATGTCCCTCAAGATAAAGAGTTGAAGTATATGAAACATACATAGTCCAACTCAAACTCTAAATATGTTATTTCCTTGATTCAAATGTAAAAGCTCAGTTTTAGATACTGATAGATTTTCCAATGCACAAAGATGCATTTTTGTACCCCTATTCATTTATTTATAGTTTTAATAGATAGTAAATAAATCACACCTTTTTTGTTAAAGAAAAGAAAGTTTTTTAAAAAGCTGGAGTCAAAGTGGTCATTATACCCAAAATTGCTCCTCACTATTTCAAGCTAGACACAAAGTATCCTACTTATATATGAAGACCACACATTCAACTGGATAACATACAACTACTAATTGAAATGTGGGAATCAGATATGTATGGTAAAAATTTAAGAATGTAGAAGTTGGCACTTACAATGTTATTGGTAGTACACAAATTAAAGTTCCGAAGAGCTCAGGGAGGTCTAGAGATAGAAAAAGTACCCAGGTCATCCCATTTGTCAATTCTGGTGATGAATAAAACAAAGGAAGTCATAAAAACGCAGAATAAGGGATGTGATTTGGTTATGGTGAATAATCATTTCCAAAGCAAATGTTGTCCCATCTGAATCACATAGCCCATCCTATTGGCCATCAAATTCTTCTCAACCTTCTTTCCCTCTTCTGCACTCTAACAAAGAGACTACGGTGGAGTTTATAGAAGCTTCTACAACGTGGTTTTGTTGTATATAGATGTGTATGTATGTCTATGAATATGTCTCCCCCCTATCTAGTTTTAGAAACCGGTATTCCTAAGTTATGGCTTTATTTTCTTCACTATTGATGTTCTTGGAAGAGTAAAATTGCTAGTTCATTCTCATTAGTCACTGTTTTTTCATTTCTCTTTCAATTCTCTGAAGCTCTTCTGAATGTCAAAAACATGAGGGCTCCATTTTAGTATCCCTAGTTGTTGATTGCCTGTGTCTCGTGACGTTTATTGTGACAGGTATACCATGACTTAGTTTACATCGCTGGTGTTTAACTTCCACCTGTGTTCCATTCATTCAACAAATTTGACAGCAGTATTTATTGACTGCCTTTAATGTGTCAGACACTGTTTCAGTTGAGTGATATAATCAGAATCCTTACTCCAGTACAAAAAAAAAAGGACATGCTAATTACTCTCAGAGAACCTAGGATCAACTTACATGACTAGACACTAATAAAGAACCACACAAATGAATATAAAACTATATTTGTGGCAAGTGCCACAAAAGAGAAGAATGTGGTGCTATGAACACATAAACCCTTCTTCTCAGGGAGGTCAAAAACCACTTCTGTGAGAAAGGTAATGTTTCAGCCTTGTTTGCTTCTCAGTTATTTGATAAACTTGTGAATCACTTTATCACCTATAAATGATTTTCTTTTCAGATGACTATTGGAATAGTGAGTAATATATACTATTTTTACTGTCCTTACCACTTATCTTTGACTTTGTTTTAAAGTCTTTTCCAAAAAAGTTATACACTTTTTTATCACTCATTCAAACTCTAATTAATACATCTACCTAATTTTAATAAATGGCTGTTGGAGTGATTTAACTGGTAAACAAAAGGTATAGAGGCTTTTGATCAGAATGAAAGCAGTGTTCAGACAACAAAAATTACAGGGATTTTGCTAAATAATAATAGCATATATGACAGGCAGTATTTATAATAGATACATTTTGTGAACTTAATTATACATCTTTCGGGGAGATAGAGAAAAGTGAGGAAGAATTGTCTTTTGCTAAAACTGTTAATGATAAATTCTCATTAGGTAAGTTAGGTGATTTGAAGAATGGTACCTTTGTGTATGAGAGTATTTATAGATATGTAGCAATAAAAGCATATCAACATTTTAGGTCATAGGTGATTTTATACAGTGCTTTATCAAAGACCAATATTCAAAGGCACAACAATTTATTGCATTTCTACTGTGGACAATATGGGAGACCTTGGTATTCTAAGCACATGTTGTGAGGAAAATCCTCATTATTTTTCTCAATTTATTCAAGGGAATATTAATTCAGAGAAGGAAAATCATCATTACTGAGGACTACAGTATGTTAGATGCTCTATATTCTACTGGTGTTTTTTTCCATAGTCTCCTTATCATTCACACTTCAATCAATGGACAAGCACCTATTGAGCACCTGCTTTATATTCAATTCTGGGCTGTACACGAAGGAATTATAAGACACGATTCTTGACCTTGAGAGGTTTTCCATCTGGTTCGTAAGATAAGGCTTAGACCTAAGACTCAATTAGAGAAAAACACATTGACTATTGATGCAAGGTCTCTCCTCTTGTGCTCAGCCATTTATATTCCAACATTCTTTCTTTTCCTTTCTTGATTATTGACTCTGGTCCCAGGCAGAAGGTCTATATTTTGAGCAGTAGAAATGCAGGATTCTAGTATGAAGGAATGTTAGCAAAAACAATGCAGCTGTAAAAATCCATATAAAGCTAGCAGATTCCTGTAGGGAAAAGTAATTTCTTCCTGCTAAATTTTGAAAATTTTCCTAGGGTAAGGTATGTTCTCATACAAAAAAAAAGAGTATTGCCTATTTGAGTTTTTAAATTCTTCTTTTGTCTGTTGGCATTTGAAATTATAGAAAACTTTCTTAAGGATTGGAATGAACTCCTGGCATCACTAAGTAAGCTTTGCTACAAACGGCAATGCTATCTGGCCATTAGTGGCCAGCATACCACTAAAGGAAAATATTTTAATTATTGCAGATTGCCCCTAGAGACTGATTTACATTTTGGGAATTGGAAAGCTTAAAAGCAGTCATTCAAATGTATTCAGAGAAAGCCCAGATATGGTGCGTACAAGTCATCTAACATATTCTCAACCTTTCACTTGTATATTGGTGTCAGGGTTTTTCTGACCTTGATGGAAAGATACTTCTTTAAAGGTACAGATATGTATACCAAGGCTGAAGTATGACTTGATAATTTAGGGAAGATGTACACTTAGTGAACAAATTTAGCAATCCAAGAAAAAAAAAAACAATCATTGGTGCCACTTTGGGAGAAAGCCACTTATGCTTTACCCTGGTAATCATTAATAGTTAGGGAGGGGTAACCAAATAACATCTTCACAGGTTTCTCCTTTCTAGGATTTTGAGGTATGAAGTGAGATAAGAAACAAGGGGTAATTTAAACACTCAGATCTGAAATATTTGCTCAACAGTTTTAATATCAGGGCTCAAGAAAGGAAGTAGAAAATTATTACTTCCTTTTTGCAAATAAATCTGCCTATAAAAGACTCTTAAATGAGCAATGTATTTTGAGTACACCGTAGTTATATGTTGATTATTTTTATTTTACTATTTTGACTTTATATTAGGTTAAATTATATGATATTGCAATTTTTGCATGCAAAACCCTATAATATAATGGCAATTTGGTGGGGTTCAACCTCATCAGTAAGCTGTGAGGGAAAGGCAACTATACTTATTATGGTGTGCAATGGCCTCCAAGTGCCCCTCTGTAAGACACAGGATGGTCAGTAAAGCCCCATCCACTGAACTGTGTATTCTCTACTGGTATAATTGTGTCTCCACGCACCTATTTGACTTGTAATTGAACTACTACCTAAAAATATTTTGAACTCTCTTACCATGACTCATTGACTTTGAGAATTCTACCAAAGAAGAGTAAGTATTTGATTTTATGTTTGAGGGTATAGTTACCATGACATAACAAAGACTTTTGAGATCTTGGTATCAGTATAGAGATGTGTATACCTATTCAGTTATTGGAAATAATCAAACTCAACAAATTTTGATTTCTATCAGTCATCAATAGCTTCTGAGCTTATAAGAGAAAGTTGATTTTATTATACAATGATAAAGGGCCAATATTGTAAATATTGGCATTCCAATTTACTTTACATTACTAATGACATTTGGGTCCTGATGGATTTTGCAAAGAATTCGTTTCCACTTTTCTGCTAATGTACATTTAATTAATACTGTCATTGAATTCACAGACAGTTGTGGGAATGTGTAAATGGTAAATATATCATGGAATATGAGAGGTTTTTTTACACAATGAGAAAGTCTCGGCTCCTGAATATAAAGCTTTGCACAGTCTCTAAGATCTGAACCAAAACGATTTGGTTTATCTATACAGCAAAGCTACAAACACAAAGCTACAAGATGGTATTTTTGTTAGGAATGAAGATAAAATGGTTTCCTATATGTTCCATTTAGCAAATGAGAGAATTACTTTCCTTCCTTCCAAGTCTTTACTAGAGAAATAAAAGGTAACATAAAGAGATGTATGAGTAAGGCAAACTTTTTAAACTTGCAATTTTTTTTGTACTAAGCTGACAAACCATTTTACTGCTTAATTTAGATCCACTGTCTTACTTTTTCAAACAACATTTTAATGTGAGTTAAGAGAATTATTTAACACACATTAAAATGTTGTTTGAAGAAATAAATGGTCATAATCTATAAAACAAATTTGAAAAATCATATCAAAGTACATATTGAGAAGAAAGTGTTTGAAATTCTGTTATTATAGAAAATAAACTGTAATTTTGCTTTTTAGGCTTTTCTAGGCTAAATTACCATCTAATAGATACCAGGTAGTTTTACTAAATTTAAATTGCTTAAGTGAAAGGAAAATTGAAAAAAAGCCTTTGCAACTTTCAAATTTGAAACACTTTTTCTGATGTCTTTATTCTGAAGATTTGAAAAGTATTGTGTTTCTGAAGGAGTGACAGAACTAGGTTTACAATATGGAAAATAATGACTTTTAAAATGACCTTCACTTTGGGAGGCTGAGGTGGGTGGATCACCTGAGGTCAGGAGTTTGCGACCAGCCTGCCAACATTGTGAACCCGCATCTCTACAAAAATTAGCTGGGTGTGGTGGCGGGTTCCTGTAGTCCCAGCAACTTGGGAGGCTGAGGCAGGAGAATCGCTTGAACCCAGGAGGCAGAGGTTGCAGTGAGCAGAGATTGTGCGACTGCACTCCAGCCTAGGCAATGGAGTAAGCCTCTGTCTAAAAATAAATAAATACATAATAAAATAAAATAAATAAAAATAAAAATAAACACCTTATTTTTACTAGCATGAGTTTTTATTTTTAAACCACTCATCACATTATTAAAATTAATCTCCATCAAAATAATTTAGTGTTTAGAGGATTTATTTTTAAAAATAAAAATTTTTTATGGCTCCTTGAAATATCATATCAATATTTATAAATAAACACAAATAAAATTTTTAAAAATCTAATGTAGTGGTATTTCAAATCAATATTCAATAAGGAAGAATACCCAGAGGCCTATTTTAAACATCGCCAATAATTCAATGTGACCAATCTTCTGATGCACCTACTAAGAATACTCAGTTGGCTAATTTCTTCTCAGTAGTCAGCAAGATAGATGAATACAATAAAATCCTTGCCCTTGAGATGATACCAGTCTAGAAGTTATAAGCAGCTATAAGCAGCATATGTTTCTATCAATTTTATTGGAGCATAGTTTACTACAACATGTATATACATAATTTACATACAGTTTATGTATACATTAAGTGTACAGTCTGATGAGTTTTGACAAATATATATACCCTTGTAACAATCACCTTATACAAAATATAAAATATTTTCTTCACGCCAGAAATTTTCCTTGTATTTATAATCACATCTGGCTCCATGCAATAACTCTTCTGATTTTTTCCCCACCATAGACTAGTTTTGCCTATTTCAGAATGCTATATGAATGAAAATATATAATTATTAGCAAACAATTCTCCATGAGTCTTATAAAATTCTGCTTGTCTTGTTAGCAGAGGCACTGCTTTTGCTTAGAAGTATTTTTTTACAGGTGTTTGTATAGTGAACAGCCTTGGAAGCTAAAGATGTCTTACTCCTTACAAAAGGGAAGGTTTGTTACTGTGCAGTTTACTAAAGATAATGTGTCCCTCTGGGCTTAATATATATTATAATAGATTTAGGTTCCCAAAACTGTAGGTTTCTTGCCTGTAACACAATCCGGTATTTGTGCAGGTGTGATACTTTCACTGATCCTATTGCTGTGAATAACAGTCCTCCGTTTTTGACCCAGGAGTCTTGTGTCTTCTGCTAGCATCCATGACCTTTTTTTTTTTTTTTTTTTTTTTTTTTTTGAGACGGAGTCTCGCTCTGTCGCCCAGGCTGGAGTGCAGTGGCGGTATCTCGGCTCACTGCAAGCTCCGCCTCCCGGGTTCACGCCATTCTCCTGCCTCAGCCTCCCAAGTAGCTGGGACTACAGGCGCCCGCCACTACGCCCGGCTAATTTTTTGTATTTTTAGTAGAGACGGGGTTTCACCATTTTAGCCGGGATGGTCTTGATCTCCTGACCTCGTGATCCGCCCGCCTCGGCCTCCCAAAGTGCTGGGATTACAGGCGTGAGCCACCGCGCCCGGCCCATCCATGACCTTTAATAACTTGCTCATTGGGTAAAATCCCAGATCCTTCACAATTCTTGACAACAATATATATTTTTTTGTGTCTAGCGTCTTTAGCTTAACATAATTTTTTGAAAATAATCCATATTATTTCAAAAATTAGTAATCAGTTCCTTTTCATTGCTGAGTTGTACCAATTGCATGATGATATCATAGTTTATTCATTCAATTCTTGATAGATATTTGGGTTGATAACAGGCTAGAAGTCAAGATCAGCACATTTTCTAAGTAGTAATTATATCACGTAATCACTGAAACAATAGAGATACTTATAAAATGCCATAAAAAAACAGAAGAAGGAGTGATTAATTATGCAGAAGAAAACTTCACAGGTGGGTTGACGTTTGAGTTGGACCTCAAACAATGAGCTTTTATTCTTCACGATAGTGTGGAAGGCCTGACCTAGTACACTATTAGAAAGAAATTAGAATTTTACCCAAATTTCTAGACTTAGAGTTTTATATATGTATTCCTATGCATAAGTATTTTAAAATAGTGCTTCTCCTTCAAAAAGCTTACAGGAGTTATGCTTCATTTGAAAGTAAAGAGGTGACCCTTCTATAAGCATCTTAAAACCTTTAACTCTTCCTTCATCAGGTCATCAGCATGCGTCAGTCACCAGTGGCTCAATAAAATTTTGAGGTGTTAGTGGGGTGCAGTCCACTCTCCTCAATGCTTAATTTAATGAATTATTAATTTAATTAATATGGCTTGTGTATGCTTTCCTAATCTTATGTAGCGTATAAGTAAGAATATCCTTGGGAAATGCTGCTATTTTTATTGATATACAACCTATAATTGAAGTAAGTGTACTTGTTTGTTAACTATAGCTTCAAAGCAAGTTTTTTGAATCTCTGGTCCACCTTGCAAGCAGAAAGCTGTCCTGCAGAGCCTCTGATGTAGGAATTCTCTTGTAGCTACTGCCTAGCGCATGGTCCCATCTTTCTCCTCTCAGTCCCCTTGCCACAGGCCAGCCCTGTTTCAAATGACTCTGTTGGCGGTAGGAAATCTATTTCTGTGCAGTTTGACTAATCAGAATGCATGAATCTATGCTTTTCATATGTATGCTTTTCAGATAAAATATTTGAATAAAATGGTCTCCCTTAGGGACAGTCATGCTTAGAGCTAACTATATATTCAATATTAAAGGGGGAAATAAAACAAAAGAAATAAAGACATTAAAGAGATAAAAGTAGCATGTATGAAATAATTAATGACTAGTTAAATTTCTGACAATGAATACAGTGTATTAATAGGTAATTGAGAGACATATTGATAGTGGTTGAGTGTAGAATTTTGGAACCAAACTGCTTGGCTTGAATTCTGGTTCTATTCTTTTACTAGCTGTGTGAACTTGCATGAGTTACTTAGTTGTTTTGGACCATCTGTGAAATAGGGATGATAATAATAGCATCTATTTAACGGGGTTATTGTGAGGATTATGTGAGTTATATGTATTAAGCACTTACAACATTGCCTGGTCCATAGTAAATAATATATAACGTTTGCTCTTGAAGCTGCTGCTAACGATGCTGCTGCTAATTTTAGCTGTAGTAAGTTCCAATAAGAAAGAGGCAAGGACGAGCACTGCATATTTGGGTTACATGGAATAGACAGATTTGGAAGACTCCCTCATAGGGCACTTACTGGAGGAAAATAATGAACAATAAATTGGAAAGGTATATTGGGCTAGATTATGACACCTTGAACATGAGACTAAGTTTGAACATGGCATGCTCTGCATTTGGCAGCTATTGAAAGTTTTGGATTATATAAAACACATGTTTCAGAAGTATCGGCCTGGTGATAGTACTGAGAGGTGAGCCTCTAGAAGCTCTAAAACTGGGAAGAACAATGAAGTCATCATTTAGATGTGAGGCAAAGGGCTGGCAGTGAAGGGTGGACAAAGCTGGTTAGCATGGAGGGAATGCGGAGGACAGACTAAAGAAATGTTTTGGTTGTGGGAGCGGGAAGAATGACATCTTCTACTGTTGGTATAGTTGGGAAAGGTGAAATGATGATTGAATCCAGGTTATTTAGCATTCTGTGAATGATAAAACTACTACTAACTGATTTTATAGTATTACAAGATTCTGAATGGCTTCTGAATCTTAAATCAAGCCTGAATTGTGTTTATGATAGTGTTAATAATATGATTATTTTTTCTAATTAATTGGAAATTGGCTACTTGTTTATGTTATGTAAGACGACATCACTAGTCTTCATATTTGATTGATCTGAATGTTACATTCCATAGCCGTGTTAGGAAGCAGAATTTTTTTCCTATAATCCTTAAAATATGTTTTATTTTTCTTTTCACTTGAAGGTTGTAATTTGAGTTAGTAGTTAGTAGTAGTTTTAGTAGTAGTCGTAGTAGAAGTAGTAGTTAGTAGCAGTTCATAGTAGTTTCATCATTCACAGAAAGCTAAATAACCCAGATTAAATCATCATCCTCCTTGTCTCAACTACACCAACAGTTGATGATGTAATTTTTCCTGCTCCCACAACCAAAACATTCCTTTACTCCACCATTCTCATTCTCTCCATGCTAAACAGCTTTGTTCTCCTCCCACTGCCAGCCTTTTGCCTCTCATCTAAATGATGACTTCATTGTCTTCCCAGTTTCTGAGTCCATAAGGGGCCCACCTGTCAGTACTACTGCCAGGCTGATAATTCTCAATATGCAAATTTTTGTAAATGACCCTTAATTTAATGTCTCCATTTTATGTTTAAATTCTTGAAATTCTAAAGTATCACTATGAAAAGTAAATACTATTAGAGTATTTCCTCAATGATTTGTTAATTTTGTCTTAGACATTTTTGTAACTATGTTAAGCTTTAATCTATTAAATATTCAAGTGCCTACTTTCTGTTTAATTATTCCTTTATTCATTTCTTTACATTTTGGAAACCCTAGTTAGTATAAGGTACTGAACTGTATAAGCTGATGGTCTAAATGTGAAGTGGTATTGTTCAATAGGAACAAAAGGAAGGGAAAAACTTCAGCATCTAGATCAAAAAATGTACATTCATGTTCTTTCTCAGATACTTGCTGGGTTTATGCCTTGAGAAAGTTACTTTAGCCTCTTGGATCCTATATATAGCAGGGCCATCAGCTCTAATTTTAAGGGTTTTTTCAGGAGTATTTGGAATTTATGTGAAGCCATTTATATACATACATATATGTATATATATATACACACATACATATATATATACACATACATATATGTAAATTTTTTTGCAAGACAATGAGTCAGACATGTTAAAATATGATGGATTCCAGTTAGTCCTTACAATTGTTACAACTCCCTGCCTTTCATCTTTCTCAGATAATTCCACTGGCATTTAAAACACCTTTTCTTAACAGTTGTTCAGCTTTTCTTTTTTTCGCCAGTCCAGTTCTCTTGAAAGTTGAGCTTGGGGTTTGATTTGCATGAGTAACTCCCTAGCATCTAGGGAGGCCTGACTGCGCTACACAGGTGACTGCAGATCGTGTCACACGGACTGAATTAACACTCACTAGCCATGCTATCATGAAATTCTTAGGACTTATATCCTTGTACTTTCTCAACTAAAATGATCCAGTGCTCTACAGTTTCTTTTTTTTTTAAATTTTTTAATTTGAGATGGAGTTTTACTTGTCGCCCAGGCTGGAATGCAATGGCGCGATCTCTGCTCACTGCAACCTCCGCCTCGTGGGTTCAAGCGATTCTCCTGCCTCAGCCTCCCGAGTAGCTGGGATTACAGGCACCCACCACCACACCGGGCTAATTTTTGTATTTTTAGTAGAGACGGGGTTTCGCCAAGTTGGCCAGGCTGGTCTCAAACTCCTAACCTCAGGTGATCCACCCACCTCAGCCCCCGAAAGTGCTGGGATTACAGACGTGAGCCACCACACCTGGCCCAGTTTCCTTTTTTTAAAGGCAAAAAGTACTATGTCACTTTCATTGCTAATTTTCTCTTCATAAAGGACCTAGCGCATGAGCCTCATTCTTTCCCCTTGGGCTGAGACTATCAGGTATGCTGCAGCAGGGCTGTGCTTCATTTGCTGCTTTCTGCAAAGGATGCGCAAGAGACAGCTTCTGAGCCCTTTCACGTTACTGCTTCCAAGCTGCTGAAGGGGAAAGAGCAAAGTCAATGTGGCAGAAAGTTCACATGGAAGGATGTGCCAAGTCTCAGCACTTTAAATGTAAAAACTCAAAATGAAATATATATGCATAAATATCAAGATGAGAAAATATTAGCAGTAGATCTGGAACATGAGGCTATGCATATACAACATGTATATGATATGTATTAATATATGGGTCAAAATCCAGGTATCAGATTTTGGCAAAAGCATAAATACATAAATAGTTTGATAACCAAGCCTACTTTTTGTCATGGAATTTTTGAATGTCTGGGGCTATTCTACACTAGAAATTACATTTACATAATATTTGAGAGGCAATATAAAGTAGTAGTTAAGAATATAATCTCTGTAGCCATACTACCCAGGTTCAGATGTCTAATTGTTTTAAAACAGCCACTTATTAGCAGTAGGACTGTAGGTATCTTTTTGTACCTTAGTTTCCCTGCCTATAAAGTGGAAATAATAATAGTACATACTTCATAGGGTTATTATGATAGTTAAATGAGTTTATACACATGCATATGCATAAGCATATACACACATGAATTTACGTACACACACCACTTGGAACAGTGAGCATATGGTAAATGCTATATTATTTATTAAATAAATAAAAATCATATTTCTAACTGAAAGCAAAGAGAACAACATATACAGGTCCAGTGGTAGTTAATGTTTTCTAAACTGAGGCATGAAATTAAAAAAAAAAGATAAGATGCTAAAATGGCATAGCAATTAAATAAAGAGAATTGAGAATAGAAAAACATTTCTACTCTACTTACTGCCCTTTTACCTCTATGAGTTTTAACTGTAACTGAACTAGAAAATCTATCCTACTAATCATATTACCTGTGGAAGCACAATTCTGTTAAAAGATCATTTCTAAGAATTACAACATTTTAGAATTAACAGAAATCTTAGATGTCAAATAGTTCATTCAGCCTCTTTATCTGGGGGCTCAAAGCACTAAGGCCAAGAAAATTCAATGACTTTCTCAAGGTCAAATTAATTCCAAAGACATGTTTACCAACTTCTAGCATAGTAACCTTTCAATTATAATAGCACTACTTGAAACCTATTGGTGGTGGTCCAAAGAAGAACATAATTTGCATCTCATTAGTATCTTCTTGCACTAAGCCATGTGTGTTGTTTGTTTTTACTTATTATTTTCACATACTTTTGCACTTATAGAAAAGTTAGAGGAATAGTACTAGGAACTTCTGAGCACCCTTCACCTTCAATTATTTACATTCTTTTTCATATGCTTTATTATTCTATTAATATGTCTCTATGTATTTATTATTTTTTTCTGAAGTGTTTGAAAGTGAGTTGGAGGCATCTCATCCCTTTACCCATAAATTCTTGAGTGTGTATTTCCAAAGAACAAGTACAATTTCTGTCATAACTGCAGTTATGAAATGATCAAAAAAAGAAAATGTAACATGAATACAATATTATCTATTCCACAGTTTATATTCACATTTCATCTATTTGCCCTATATTGTCTCCTTTCTCTGTTTGTTTTTTGGCTCAAGATCCAAGCCCAAATCAAGCATTGAGCTTAGTTGTCCTGTCTCTTTAGTGTACTTTCACCTGGGACAGTTCCTCACCTTTCTTTGTCTTTCTTGACCTTGAGAGTTTTGAAAACACGGCTAGCTATTTTGCAATATGTCCCTCAGTTTTATTTGTCTGTTTATCCATAATTGGATTCAGAATATACATTTTTGGCAAGAATACTACAGAAGTGATGTTGTGTTCTCAGCACATGATTTCAGGAGGCACATGATGTCAGTGTATTCAATACTGGCAATGTAATTTTTTTTTTTCAGACAGAATCTCTCTCTGTCACCTGGACTGGAGAGTAGTGGTGCGATCACAGGTCACTGTAGTCTCGACCTCCCAGGATCAGATGATTTTCCCACCTCAGCCTCTTGAGTAGCTGAGACTACAGTCACGCACCACCATGCCCAGCTAAATTTTGTAATTTTGTGGAGATGGGTTTTCATTATGTTGCCCCAGGCTGGTCTCAAACACCTGAGCTCAAGCAATCCGCCCACCTCAGCCTCCCGAAGTGCTGGGTTTACAGGCTTGAGCCACTGTGCCTGGCTGGCAATGTAAACTTTGATCACTGTGTCTGCCAGGTTTCTCCACAGTAAAACGAGTGTTTCACCCTTGCTAAATAATAATTAATTTGTAAGAAGAAACTTTGACACTATTTAAATATCTTTTTTCTGTCAAACTTCTACCTACTAGTTTTTGCATCCATTGTTAATTTGTAATTCCATTATTCCTTTCAAATTGAATAATTGACATTCTGCTGAAAGGAAGAGCTTTCCCATGTCTCTCATTTATTTATTTGTTTATTTATGATATCAATGGGATTCATGTATTCTTGTTTTATTCTATGTCTATAATCCATTATAGCCGTAAATATTTAAATACTATTATTATTTATTCAGATGCTCAAATTTTCCCAGATTTATCCATTGAAAGCCACTTCATATTAGTTTTTGTGCCTTTTGATACCTCCCCATCATTCTTGAGGATTTCCTTACTTTCTGGCACATGTTATTCTAGGCTCATTTTGTATTTTCCTTGTCCACACCCTGGAATCAGCCTTTCATCCACACAGCTTTGCTTCCATTGAGAAGTGGATGGCATTTAGAAGTCAAGATCTGGACACTAGGTGTACTCGTTGCTACTGATATGTTAATACTTCTAGGCCCTGTCAGCCAGAAGCATTAGTGAATATATGTTGATTTTTATTTCTATATCTATGTGCCTATCGATGAAAAACCATGAGTTCATACTGATACCTCTGATTCCAGTCTCAAACTACAGGATGCATTCTGGTGTCCTAATTTTCTCATTTGTAACTCTTTTCCAAAAGTAAGAAACCTAACTTCACATTTGTTATATTCAATATATGTGTCTGTTTGCTCGACTTGGAATACAAGAAAGCAATTTCAGAATTGCTAACCTACACCACAGCCAGAAAAGCAAATCTACTAACTAGAATTCAACTTTTTAACAGCTTTTTGGAATAAAATTTACTAGAGCAAAATAATTTGTGCACAGATATCAAGTGCATAGTTCAGGAAATTAGACAAACATCTAGACCCATGTTTCTCCTGTCTCATCAAGATGTAAGACATTTCCATCACCTTAGAAAGGTCCCTTGTGCCCCTTTCCCGTCAGTATATACCCCTCAGGAGTAGCTAGTTTCCTGATTTCTATCACTATAGGCTAGTTTTGCCTCATCTAGAACTTCTATTTATGGAATCGTGCAGTGACTCTTCTGTATCTGGCTTCTTTCACTCATTATAATGACTGCTGGATTTATACATGTTGTTATATGTATATCTACAGTTTGTTTCTTTTGGTTGCTAAAAGAAACCAAGCCATGCTCTTTGTTTATCTGTTCCCTCTTGATGAGTAGCATTTGGGTTACTTCCAGTTTCTGGCTAATATAAATAAAACTACAATGAACATTTTTGTGTAAATCTTGAGAACATAAGGATTCCATTTCTCTTGGTTGAACGTCTGAATTGGAATCACTAAGTCATAGATACAGGTATATTTAATTTTATAAGAAATTGCCAAACATTTTGTTAAAGTGGTTGCACCATTTACACTTTCACCAGCAATATATGAACATTCTAGTTATTTCATATCCTCATCAACATTTGGTATTGTCAGTCTTTTTAAATTTTAGCCATTCAAATGGGCATGTAATGATACCGGATTGTGTTTATAATGTGCAATTCTCTGATATCTAATGATGCTAGGACTGTTTCATGAGATTATTGGGTATTTCTGTTTGTTCCTCTGTGAAGTGCCTATTTAAATCTTTTCTCATTTTCTTAATTAGATTGAGTTGTAGGAGTCATTTGTATATTATGGATATAAGTTTTTTTAACAGATATATGCTTTGCAAATATTTTCTGACAGTCTCTGGCTTGCCTATACACTGTTTTTCTTTTTAACTTTTATTTCAGGTTCATGTGTAAATGTGCAGGTGTGTTATATGGGTAAATTGCATGTTTCAGGAGTTTCGTGTACAGATTATTTCACTACCCCAGGTAATAAGCACAGTGCTCCACAGGTAGTTTTTTGATCCTTATGCTGCTCCCTCCCTCTACCCTCAAGTAGGCCCTGGCATCTCTCGCTCCCTTCTTTGTGCCAATGTGTACTCAATGTTTAGCTCCCACATATAAGTGAGAACATGCAGTATTTGGTTTTCTGTTCCTGTGTCAGTTCTCTTAGCATAATGGTCTCCAGCTCTATGTTGTTGCAAAGGGCATGATCTCCTTTTTTATGGCTACATAGTATTCCATGGTACATATGTACCACATTTTCTTTATCCAATCTAACATTGATTAGCACTTAGGCTGATTCCACATCTTTGCTATTGTGAATAGTACAGTGATGAACATAAATATGCATGTGTCTTTATGGTAAAATGATTTATATTCCTTTGGGTATGTACTCAATAATGGGATTGCTGTATTGAGTAGTAATTCTGATTTGAGTTCTTTGAGAAATCACCAAACTGCTTTTCACAATGGCCGAACAAATTTACATACCCACCATATGTATGGTATAAGGAAAGGGTCCAGTTTCAATCTTCTGCATATGGCTAGCCAGTAATCCCAGCACATTTATTGAATAGGGAATTCTTTCCCCATTGCTTGTTTTTGTCAACTTTCTTGAAGATCAGATGGTTGTAGGTGTCTGGCGTTATTTTTGGGCTCTCTATTCTGTTCCGTTGGTCTATGTATCTGTTTTTGTAACAATATCATGCTGTTTGGTTACTGTAGGCTTGTAGTATAATGTAAAGCTGGGTAACATAATGCCTCCAGCTTTGTTCTTTTTGCTTAAGGTTGTCTTGGCTATTAAATCTCTTATTTGGTTCAACTTGAATTTTAAAAGTCTTTTTTTTTCCTAATTCTGTGATGAATGCCATTGGTAGTTTGATAGGAATAGCATTGAATCTGTAAATTGCTTTTGGCAGTATGTTTGTTATACCAATATTGATTCTTCTTATCCCTGAGCATGGAATGTTTTTCCATTTATTTCTGTCATTTCTCATGTCTTTGAGTAGTGTTTTATAATTCTTGTTATGGAGATCTTTCACCTCCCTGGTTAGATGTATTCCTAGGTATTTTATTCTTTTTGTGGCTGTTGTAAATGGGATTGCATTCTTGATCTGGCTCTCAGCTTAAATGTTATATAGGAATGCTACTGAATTTTGTGCCCTGAAACTTTGCTGAAGTTGTTTATTAGATCAAGGAATTTTGGGGCTGATACAACAAGGTTTTATAGGAATAGAATCATATCATCTGCAAACAGCAATAGTTTGATGGTCTCTCTTACTATCTAGATATTTTATTTCTTTCTCTTGCCTGATTTCTCTGACCAAGACTTCCATTACTATGTTGAATAGGAGTGGTGAGAGAGGGCATCCCTGTCTTGTGCTGGTTTTCAAGGGGAATGCTTCTAGCTTTTGTCCATTCAGTATGATGTTTGTTGTGGGTTTGTCATAGATGGCTTTTATTATTTTAAAGTATGTTTGTTCAATGCCTAGTTTGTTGAGGGTTTTAACCTGAAGGGATGTTGAATTTTATCAAAAGCCTTTTCTGAATCTATTGAGATAATCGTGTGGCTTTTGTTTTTAGTTCTGTTTATATGATGGATCACATTTATTGATTTGTATATATTGAACCAACCTTGCATCCCAGGGATAAAGCCTACTTGATCATGGTGGATTAGCTATTCAGTGTGCTCCTGGATTCAGATGGTTAGTATTCTGTTGAGGATTTTTGCATCTATGTGCATCAAGGATATCGGCCTGACATTTTCTTTTTGTTGTTGTTGTTGTATGTCTCCTGGGTTTTGGTATCAGAATGATGCTGGCCTTATAGAATGAGTTGGAGAGGAGTTCCTTCTCCTCAAATTTTTGGAATAGTTTCAATAGAAATGGTAACAGCTCTTCTTTATACATCTGGTAGAATTTGGCTGTGGTCCTGGCTCTTTCTTATTTGTAGCCTTTTTATTACCGATTCAATTTTGGAACTCATTATTGGTCTGTTCAGGGATTCAGTTTCTTCCTAGTTCAATCTTGGGAGGTTGTATGTTTTCAGGAATTTATACATTTCTCATAGGTTTTTAAGTTTGTGTGCACAGAGTTTTGTATAGTAGTCTCTGAGGGTTTTTTTGTATTTCTGTGGTGTATTGGTCATGTCCCTTTGTCATTTCTTATTGTGCTTATTTGGACCTTCTTTCTTTTATTCATTATTACGCTAGCTAATGGTCTACCTTATTTATTATTTAAAAAACTCATGGATTCATTGATCTTTATCTTTTGTATGTTTATTCCAGTCTTGATTTCCTTAAGTTCAGCTCTGATTTTGGCTATTTCATGTCTTCTGCTAGCTTTTGGGTTGGTTTGCTCTTGTTTCTCTAGTTCCCCTAGGTGATGATGTTAGGTTGTTAATTTGAGATCTTTCAGACTTTTCCATGTGGGCATTTAGCACTATAAACTTTCCTCTTAACACTGCTTTAGCTGTTTCCTAGACATTCTGGCATGTTGTATCTTTGTTCTCATTACAGTCAAGGAATTTCATGATTTTTGCCTTAATTTCATTGATTAACCAAAGGTCATTCAGGAGCAGGTTGTTGAAATTCCATGTAATTATATGGTTTTGAGTGATTTTCTTAGTATTGATTTCTATTTTTGTTGAGCTGTGGTCTGAGAGAGTGGTTGGTATGATTTCAGTTTTTTTGAATTTGTTGATTGTTTTATGTCCAATTGTGTGGTTGATTGTAGAGTCCATGCCATGTTGTGATGAGAAGAATGTATATTCTGTTGTTTTTGAGTGGAGAGTTCTGTAGATTTGTTAGGTCCATTTGGTCAAGTGTTGAGTTCAAGTCCTGAATATTTTTGTTAACTTTGTGCCTCTATGATCTGTCTAATACCATCAGTGGGGTATTGACATCTCCCGTGATTATTGTGTAGAAATCTTACTCTCTTTGTAGGTATCTAAGAACTTTCTCTATGAGTCTTGGTGCTCCTGTGTCAAGTGCATACATATATTTAGGATAGTCAGGTATTATTGAATTGAATACTTTACTATTATGTCAGTCCCTTCTTTGTCTTTTTAAAAAATCTTTTTTGGTTTAAAGTCTGTTTTACTAAAATTAGGATAGCAACCGCTGCTTGGTAGATTTTTCTCTATCCCTTTACTTTGAGCCTATGGATGTCATTGTGTGTCCAGAATTAGTTCCTTCTGGTGCATTCTTGGTCTCGCTGGTCTCGCTGACTTCAAGAATGAAGCCGCAGACCCTTGCAGCGAGTGTTACAGTTCATAAAGGTGGTGTGTCCAGAGTTGCTCATTCCTCCCGGTGGATTTGTTGTCTCACTAGCTTCAGGAGTGAAGCTGCAGACCTTCGCAGTGAGCATTACAGTTCATAAAGGCAGTGCATCCAGAGTTGTTCATTCCTCCCAGTGGGTTTGTGGTCTCGCTGGCTTCAGGAGTGAAGCTGCAGACATTCTCGGTGAGTGTTACAGCTCATAAAGGTAGTGTGGACCCAAACAGTGAGCAGCAGCAAGAGTTACTGTGAAGAGTGAAAGAACAAAGCTTACACAGCAGGGAAGGGGACCCGCAGTGGGTTGCCGCTACTGGCTCAGGTGGCCTGCTTTTATTCCCTTATTTGGCCCCACCCACATCCTGCTGATTTGTCCATTTTACAGAGAGCTGATTGGTCCATTTTACATAGTGCTGATTGGTCCGTTTTACAGAGTGCTGATTGGTCTGTTTTACAGAGTGCTGATTGGTGCATTTACAAACCTTTAGCTAGACACAGAGCGCTGATTGGTGCATTTACAATCCTTTAGCTAGATAGAAAAGTTCTCCAAGTCCCCTACCGGATTAGCTAGACACAGAGCACTGATTGGTGCATTTACAAACCTTTAGCTAGACACAGAGCACTGATTGGTGAATTTACAATCCTTTGGCTAGACAGAAAAGTGGTCCAAGTCCCCAGCCGACCCAGAAGCCCAGCTGGCTTCACCTCTCAATTGCATGTGAGATGAGTCTCTAGAAGACAGCATACCATTGGGTCTTGCTTCTTTATCCAGCTTGCTACTCTGTGCCTTTTAATTGGTGCCATTGAGCCCATTTACATCCAGCATTAATATTGGTATGTGGAGATTTGATCCTGTCATGGTGTTGGTAAATGGTTATTATGTAGACTTGTTTTTGTGGTTGTCTTATATTCTCAGTGGTCAGTTTACTTAAGTGTGTTTTTGTAGTGGTGCATAACATTCTTTCTTGTCCATATTTAGCACTCCTTACAGAACCTTTTGTAAGGCATGTCCAGGGTTAATGGATTCCATCACCATTTGCTTGTCTTACTTCTCCTTTGCTTATGATGCTTAGTTTGGCTAGATATAAAATTATTGGTTGCAAATTCTTTTCTTTAAAAATGCTGAATATAAGCCTTCAATCTCTTCTGGTTTGTGGAGTTTCCGCTGAAAGGTTTGCTGTTAGTTTGATGGGTTTCACTTTTTAGGTCACCTATGCCTTCTCTCTAGCTGCCTTTAACATTTTTTCTTTCATTTTGACCTGGGAGACTCTGATGATTCTGTATCTTGAGGATGGTCTTCTTGTGTAATATCTCATAGAAATTCTCTGCATTTCCTGATTTTGAACATTGGCATCTCTAGCGAGGTTAAGGAAGTTTTCATGGATAATATCTTAAAATATGTTTTCCAAATTGCCTGTTATCTCCTCATATCTTTCAAGGACACTGGTGAATTATAGATTTGGTCTCTTTACATAATCCCATATTTCTCGTTTTTATTCTTTATTTTTTATTTTTGTTCAAGTTAGTTTAGAGAACCAGTCTTTGAGCTGTGAGATTTTTCCTCAGCTTGATTTATTCTGCTGTTAATGCTTGTGATTGCATTATGAAATTATTGTAGTGTGTTTTTCAGCTCTATCAGATCAGTTTGGTTCTTTTTATTTTTATTATTATTATTTTTTCTTCTTAGATGGAGTCTCACTCTGTCACCCAGGCTGGAGTGTTTGTAGTGCAGTGGTGCTATCTTGGCCCACTGCAAGCTCCACCTCCCGGGTTCACGCCATTCTCCTGCCTCAGCCTCCTGAGTAGCTGGGACTACAGGTGCCCGCTATCACGCCCAGCTGATTTTTTTTTTTTTTTTGTATTTTTAGTAGAGATGGGGTTTCACTGTGTTAGCCAGGATGTTCTCAATCTCCTGACCTCGTGATCTGCCCACCTCAGCCTCCCAAAGTGTTGGGATTACAGGCATGAGCCACCGCACCCAGCCAGTTCTTTCTTATAGTGGCTATTTCATCTAACTGCTCCTGTATCATATTTTATTGTAATCCTTAGAATTCTTGGATTGGGTTTTGACTTTCTCCTGAATCTTGATGCTCTTCGTTCCTATCCATATTCTGATTTGTATTTCTTTCATTTCAGTCTTTTCATCCTGGTTAAGAATTCCTGCTGTGAAACTAGTGCAGTTGTTGAGGAAATCAGACACTCTGGCTTTTTGAGTTGCCAGAGTTCTTGTGCTGGTTCTTTCTCATCTGTGTGGGGTGATTCAATGCAGCTGCCACACCCCACCATGTGCTTTAGTTTGAGTACAGTCAGTTGACTTCTTTTCAGGATGTTTTTGGAGGGTTGAGGCTTTGTGCAGGAACTTTATTTGTGGCTGAGTTCTTGTCCTTGGTTTCACAGTGTGGGCAGAAGGTGGCCTATATTAGCAAAGTATTTTTGTTGTTGAAGTTTGGGTTGTGATCAAGTAGGTGGTGCTTAAGCATAATGACCAGTAGGTAGGCTCTTGCTTAGTCACTTCACTGCTTTGTATTTCCTCATGACTGCGATATGCTCCCTCTCTGTGCTCTAAGAGTGTGGAATCCTCTCCCACTCAAGTCCTGGCTATAGCTCTTGGCTTGGCACTTCTTGGCTGCACACTGCAGCCCTGGGTGAGCTCAGGCTTTATGTTCCTTTCTAGCTGGGAGGCAGCAGGAGAAGGGACCTTGCCATGGGTAGGGACATGTGGAAGAGGGCCTTTCACTTGTCTCTCAGGTTTCCATATCAGAAAATGGCAGAGCCACTCCCAGTTGGGGCTATCAGCCTGGGGTGGGGTGGCTGCATTGTGGACTCAAGCCAGGGGGCCCTGCATATTGATGAGCAGAGAGGCCAGGTGGCTCATGGGGGGAAACTGACTGGCTTCTTCTTTTTAGGACAGCAGTGGCTGTCCTAAAGGAGGTGTGGTTAAATCACTGAGAGTCTTTGCTCCTTTTCCAGTCTGAGGGCAGCAAGGACAGTACCACTGCAATGGCAGTGGCAGAGGGGCTTTTGGTTGCCTCTGGAAGCTTCATCTCAAGAGAAACACAGAGCAACTGCTACTGGGAATGTTCAGCTGGTGGGTGGGGGTGACTGCAACTGCTGGCCCAAGCTTGGGGCCCGACTGGGTGAAGAGTGGGGGTTTGAGGGCTCACAGAGAGGAGAGCCTGAGCTTCTCTCTATATAATAACTGTGGTGTGCTAGAAGTATGAGTAAAACCCTCAGGTTCTTTATTTCTTCCCCAGACTGAGGGCATCAGGTACAGAGAGGCTGTTGGTTGCCTCTGGGATCACCTCCCCAGGGAAACACAAAGCCATTAGCAATGGGAATTCTCAGTTGCGGGTGGAGGAGCTCTTCAGTGATCTTGAGGCAAGACCCCTGCCTGGTGAAGAGTGGGGTGTGGGAGCTCGCTGGAAAGAGACTGGGCTCCTCTCCATATGATAGCTGCAGCTTGCTGGAGGTTTCAGCATAGCAACCAGGCCCTTTGTTCCTTCCCCAGCCCGAGGACAGTCAGGGCAGTACTGCTGCAACTGCAATGTCATACATGCTCTGGGTTGTCTCTGGGGTTTCCTCCTCAGAGAAATGCAGAGCCACCACTGACTAAAGTGTTCAGGTGGGGGCAGGTTAATCATATTGGGGGCCCAGGTCAACAGGCACTGCCGAGTGAAGGGTAGGGGAGGTGGGGACGCATGTGGAAAACAGTCTGGCTGCTTTTCTGTAAGGTGGCTGCACTGTGCTGGGCATCTCCATAGGTCTCCAACCACTCCACTCCCTCCTGAGCCTGAGGGCAATAGGAGCAAGGGCTGCAGGACAGCAAAAATGGTGCCCTGCCTCCCTCTAGGAGCTCTATCCCAGGAAAGTGTAGAGCTGCTACCATTCTGAGAGCCCAGGAGGGGGTCACTAAAGTCCCAGGTTTGGAGGCCCTGCCCAGTGAGCAGTAGCAGAGGTGGAGACCTATGTGGAACACAGTCTTGTCCCTTTTCCATAAGGCAGCTCTGCCGGGGGTCTGGGAGAGTCCCGAGTCACTGCACACCCTCTGGAGCCTGAGAGCAACAGGAGGGTGGGTTGCAGAGAAACAAAAATGGCAGGCTACCTCTCCCTCTGGGAGCTCTGTCCCAGGGAATTGCAGAGCTGCTCCCTGCCCAAGAACTCAGGTGGGGCTGGGGTGGCCTCACCAGCACCCCAGGCCAATGGGCCTTATCCTGCAAGGTGCAGTGGAGGCATGGCTTGCAGTCCATCACTGCTCAGCTGTGGATTTGGTTCCTTTCCTGCAGGCATGTGAGGGAGGCTGACCTTCCCCATTGCTGGACCTGCAGCCACTGGTGCCAGGGTGCCTGAGGATCCAAGGCTCCCAGGACTCCATGTGTGCTTGAGCAGGGCTCTGCCCAGACTCCCACGTAGTTCTCTGTGTTGGTCTGGAGGCCGCAGCAGGGGAGTTTGCGGGGATTTCCTGAGCAGAAGTGGTAGAAGTGTGGGTCCCTGAGGACTCTCACTTACTCACTGTTTCCCCAGTGTGGTGACTCCCCTGGCTCTGGGCCACTCCAGGTGGGCAGTTTTCCTGTCTCACTCTTCTCTGTTCTCTGTGGGTCATGCTGTTTCCCTGATGAATCCCAATGTGTTCACCTGGATGTTCCGGTTGAAGAGCTAGTGTCAACCCACCACTCTTTATTCTCTCCGTGAAAGCAGTGCACACTGGCTGCTGCTAGTCAGCCATCTTGGCCTCCATGTAGAAATATTTCTGTAATCATTTCCTAGCTTCCAGGTATCCTGGCATTTTCCCTGTGGATCTCCCAATTCCTCTGGTCACAGAAGACTACATATTCTTAGTGATGTCTTTTGATGAGCACATATTTTTTATCTTTAATGAAGTGTACATTATAATTTTTATGCTATTACTTTATCCTTTCTAAGTGAATCATTCCCTTTCCTCAGGTTACAAATGTATTTGGGTTCTCTCTCCATTCCTCTCTCACACCAGCTTGTCTCTGCATAGCGTCATTTTACAAATGGCTTTGCTAAAAGGGAAGATGAATGCCGCCAACCTCAGATGCTCATCCTTTCAGTGTCTTCCCTATCCTAAGGGAAGACTCTACTTGGCACTGTCTGAGTCACATGTCCATTTCCTGGGCCAGTCACTGTTGCTAGGGAGCTCAGGTTCTATGAGCAACTAAGTTCAAGCCCATCCCTTTAGCAAAGGGATGGTGGCATCAACGAGAAAAACATGGGATGAGGGAGAGGGGAGTCCTCAGAGACAGGCTCTTGGATACTTCAAATAACATATGTGCCACCAAACTTCTTAATTTTAAAAAATTATGTTTTATGTAGAAGATTTATTTCTCTTTCTCTAAACTGCTAATTAAATGTATTCAGGTGCAGTAAAGCTACATTTCTGTTTAGCATATCTAAAACTAAAGTGTGAAATAATCAGATATTTTGAAGTGCTAAAATATGTTCAAATTATATGTGAATAGCAGTACTTCATCAAAGATCACAGTTTAACACATCAAAGTCTACCATAATATGAATGATGCTATTATTTTCACTTTGACAAAAGTTTTTCCCTACCTTCCTCAGATTCTAAAAAAAAAAAAGTTGTGTTGTCCATACCTCCATATAAGAAACCACTGGGAGAGCAACTGTGGTTTAGTGATTAGCACAAGATTTATATACTTAGAAAGCCTAATCATTTTGCTAGGCTTTAGAGCAAGCCTGACGATGTTCCACCCACAGGATTAATTGACAAAAATGAGTGGTCCTTATTGGAAATCATTAAGTACCTCGGGGTTTTCATTTGAAGGAGAAAATTGGAGAGTTCATTGTAGACAAATGACTATCTCCATCAAAGTTACCCACTTGTAAAATATTTTCTTTGAAGTGTAGTTGAATAAATAGCTGGCCCCACTGAGGGGCTTGAAATGATAATGCAATCAACAACATTTGATTCTCCTAGGTCAGACTCACTAAAGGAACCTGATATTAAAAGTAGTGTTTCAGGAAAGCTTTCATCTTAGCTTAAAAATTATAGACATCAGGGAAAGTGCTGGAGGGGCTCTATAAATTATAGGCACAGCAGTTATTTCCCCATAATGAGGAAAGGACCCAGCTGACTTTCTCAGTGTCATACGGGCTTCAGCTTTCCTCTCTCAATTCTCTCTGCTATGTGCATAAAGCTCTCCTTCATTACTGCCATTGCTCTCCCATCCCTTGGGTATTATAATCCTATTACTTTTCAGATTTAGGTGTGGAAAACCTCTTAAAAATTAATAAATGAGTTCATTTTAATTGACAAATAAACATTATATACATTGGTCATGTACAACATCATGTTTGGAAATACACATACATTCTGGAATGGCTAAATTGAACAAATTAACATAAACATTACCTCACATCCTTATTTTTTGTGATGAGAACACTTGAGATCTACTCTTAGCAATGTTTAAGAACACAATACATTGTTATAGTCATGTTATACAATAGACCTCTTGAACATTTTCCTCCTGTCTAATTGGCATTTTGTATATTTGGACCAACATCTTCAGAAGCCTTCTGGGCCTCCCCAAATTTCTTTTCTTTGTGACAGTTTTTCAAAACAAAATCATATTAATAAACTATGGGTGAGGGAGTGGAGTACACACAAAAGCTTAAAAATTGAGATGTTTATAACATCATGTTTCTGATCCTATTTTGAGGGGTCTAGTCACAGATTCAATTAATAAATATAAAATAAGAGACATCCAACTTCTTTTCATCTTCCCTGCTTCAGGCTTGTTTTCTTTGTTTCTCTGTGGCCATATGATGAAATGATAGTTGCCGTCTTCACTTTCCATTAAAATAAGTTGAATTTCTCATCTTTTCCCGTTTCAGATGCCATTGCTTTTGGAAAAGCACTGGAGTTTCTATTTGATATTTAAGGGATATCTTCAGTTCTTAGTTTGTCTACAGAATTGAATTAGCAAAGAGTCTTTCTTACCTTTCCATATATGATTGGTTGGTTGTGACTGCCTAGAGTACTGGATTGAGATGGCATCTGGGGGTGAACACAGGTGATTAATTAATAATGTCTGCCTTGGGCTTCACAAGCAGCAGTTCTTTCTTAATCCCAATCAATGGTAAAGTATATGTTTTGATTTGATTTTTGTTTCTACTCAGGTTATCAGCATGGGGAATTCCAGTGGTTGTCTTTTTTATTTGTCCTTCAGATATCACTGTGGTGGTGAAGGGCAGTTCTAAGTATATATTAAAGTATTATACATATATTAAAATTAATATATATAATTTTCTCTCTAGTTGAATTAAAGCCATCTTAAGAGGGAAAAGATTCTCTCTACAATGTATGAGGCATTAAGTAGACAACAAAAGCTAAATTCTTAGGAGAAATTTCCTTTTTTATGGTTCATTTCAGTAAGTCATTTTGATTTCTTAGCAAATGAATACGGAAACGTTGAAGCTTAAAATATAATATGGAGATTGATGTTCCTGATCCATCCCAATATACACATCATTTTTTGCTATTGTCTATTCTGTGATGTTTTGAACAATTTAATCAAGCAACAGGATTTTGTAGTGTTTCTTCATGAAAATAACTGTACGTAAGTTCCCCCAGGTATGCCCTTCTGGTGACTATTTTTGACTTTATATTCGTGGCTGTTGTGCTTCATTTAATTCCCATTGTTCTTTTCATGGTTATACTTTTCATTTTCAAGAAGAAATGTTTATTTTTAACTCAAATCATGATTAAGAGTAGCATCCAGTGAGACAAATGGCAATCCACTTGGTTCAATCATTTTTGAAGTTCAGTTTAGCTTTAAGCCACTAAATTTGGGTTAGGTTTAAAAGAGAGAATTGGTCATGATGTCCTTGCATTTGTGTCTAGTAACAACGGCAAATGTTTTATGATTTTTGTACAGTACTCAGGATCTTTGAGGGCTTTGGTGTCAATTTTAATGTAGACCCCAAAGACTGACTGAAACACAAAGATGGATTGAAGCATTCATTCACTTATTCATCAGTTTGCCATTTATTTAACAATTATTTGAGCATTCACTATATTCTAGTTCATCTGATGGGTTCCAGGGAGTCTATTGTGGTGTAGAACACTGAGAAGTAATAAAAACAAGGTCTACATGTGATAAGGGTCATGTCCAGGATGGTATCATGCAAGGGGAACTTTCAGAGCGGGGTGGTGGTGGCACCAGGGAAGCCTTTGTAGAAGACCTGAAGGATAAATAGAAGTTAACCATGATGTCCAGGCAGTGGGAAAACCACAGGTGAAAGTCCTAAGCCCTTCCAGCTACTTTAAGAAATCCAATTGCTTCCCATAAACATATTTAGGCTCCTGGAATTTGTATCAGAGCTAAAACAATCTCTATTACATCCTTTGTTATTTTGGACCTAGAGGATTGATTCCCTTGTCGGCACCACATTTTGATTTATTCTTCAAGAAAAAGGTGGTATGGTGGAGAGTGAGGGGACAGAAAGTGAACTGAGAAAACTCATCTGTTTTCTTTAGTTAGCAGTTACTTTTTCCCCTTATTGTAAGTCACTAAGATCTAATTATTTAAATATTTTTCGTTATGTAGTTTTTGGTAAATGCACATGTTTGCAAAACCTTCTATATGTCCTTCTCTGCATCCTAGCTCTTGTATGAATCTTTAGCTATCTGGTATATTTTTTTACCATTTTATAGTTTTATGCTTTTTGGTAGTTTTATGCCTTAGGAGGTGTTCATGCATTCGACACGTAACTGTGTATTTAATGGCCACTCTCTGCTACCTCTGCTCAATACACTGGTTAGAAGGCCTCCATCCTCAAGGTGCTCATGTGCCAAAGGGGAGACAGAGAAATGACAAGGAAAACCGAATACAAAAGGGATTCTCGTGTGCTGTGGAAAAAATAAAATAAGGAAATATGATAGAATGTGGTGAGGGATGAAGGATGGTTCTAGTAAGGGAGGCCGAGGCGGGCATCTATAATAAGGCAACATTTGAACTGAGAATTGAACTGAGAATTGAATGGTGAGAAATTAGCTGTTCAAAGATGTGAGGGAAGTGTTCAAGGAAAGGTAGGCAGGGATTGTTAGGGGCCATATAGGCCGTGACAAAGAATTTGGATTTAACTCTGAGTGGAAGTGTTTAACTATTAGATAGTTTTAGAATGGTGGTAACATGACTTGATTTGCTTTCTAAAAGAAAATGCTAATGCTATGGAAAGAATCCATCATATCACTGTGCTAGGAATGAAATCAGAGATTAGATTAAATAGAAGGCTATGATAGTAATCAAGGAAAGCGATGTGATTACTATGATAGTAATCAAGGAAAGACACTGGATTTGCACTGTGTCTTCTACAGAGTAGGCACTCCATGAGTTCTAAAGGTATTGCTCATTCTCAGTACACTTAGTTTTATGTGAATTTGTGTGTGTGTGTGTACGTGTGTCTGTCTGTGTGTATGAACAAGATTTTATTCAAGGTTGAGCCACATAGCTACATAATTTTATGTCTGACACAGGGTAGAACATGGAGATTTAGACTTTTATGATGGAAATGAAAATGTTTGTCCTTGACTCTTGCCCCTTCTCTCTACCACCACCTGTGCTTCCATATTCCACTTGCATTCCTCCCATTTATACTTATACTCCCTAATAGTATCCTCCTACCACACTCTTACTTTCAGCCAACCATCCATAAACTAGGAGGTGGTACTGACAAATTCATCCTAATTGTGTTCCTGGCTTCCCCAGACCTGAGATGCAGAATATCAGGAATGGCGTGATTGGGACAAGGAAAGTGGGCAGAAACTTGAAGGCAACAATAGGCTTTGCCACATTTAGCAAGAAAGAATGACACTAAGTTCAATGTTGAACTATCATTGTTACCGTAGGTGAGGTTAGGAAGGGTAGTGAGGGTGACAAAAAGTTGAAGCATCTGCAGCTTGGAAGAGTCTAAGGCCAGAGTTCCTAGAGCAGAGCTTGAGGTGAGAATTGTTGCTCAAGTAATTTATTATGGAATGCACTCAGGAGAAGGGAAGTGAGGGAAGCAGGATGGGGCAGGGAATCAAGTTCAGTATAAACTGGCTTTGACCTAATCTCATGCAGAAGCTCTGGAGCACAGACTGAAATACAAAGTTCCCTATGAGTCAAGAAGGCTGCCTTTGTTACTCCCTTTCTAGTTAGTCATTGGCTAAGGTTTGTGGTGACCAGCCAACATTCAGACCCTGTGGTGGAGTGGGCACAATGGCAGGTATCTTATTCTTCTCAGGCTTCCATAGCAAGATACCATAGACTGTGTGGCTTAAACAACAGAAGTTCATTTCTGACAGTTCTGGAGGCAGGGAAGTCTAAGATCAAGGTGCTGGTAAGGTAGGTTTTGTTCTGAAGCCTCTTTTCTTGGCTTGTAGGCGACCAACATATTGCTGTGTGCTCACATGAGCTCTTCTTTGTGTGGATGCAGAAAAAGAGACCACAAATTTTCTGGTGTCTCTTCTTATAAGGGCACTAATCCCATTGGATCAGCACCCCATCCTCATGACCTCATCAAATCCTAATTACCTCCTAAGGGCCCTATATCCAAATACCATCACACTGGGTGTTGGGACTTCAACATATGAATTTGGAGGGCACAAAACATTCAGTCCGTAACAACAAGTAAGAGGATTCTTTGTGGGGCACTAACTTCTGCTATAGGTAGTGAGGATTAGGAAGGATGGCATTCATTGCATCCAGGGAAAATCTAGATGGAGTTGGAAAATGGACAAAGGAGAGATTTGGTAGGATTCAACTTTCACATTCAACATTCACAGCTGAGCCAATGTAGAGAGCTGAACACATTAAATCAAGTAAGGGGTGACTGACTTTACATGAGAAAAATGCTTGTTATGTCATTTTATCCTGAAATTATTTAAATATTTAGGACACTAAAAGAGTTCCAGGTTCTAAATCAGGTACACAGCTACAGTTATTGAGGAAATGTTCTGAGAAATGATAAAAATAAATCTATCACTCCACTGATTGACTTTAATAATAGCACAATCAGGTTTTTTAGTAAACACTGGATGGCAACACTCTTATGTCCTTTGCTTCATCAAAGAATGTCAGATCTGCAGGCATATGCTTACATGACTTCCAGTGCCATGGCACTGAGTATTTAAAAAATGAGAAAAGAATACCAACAAATATTTTGTCGTTAAAGATGTTGTTCTTGCGATAGTTTGCTGAGAATGATGGTTTCCAGCTTCATCCATGTCCCTAAAAAGGACATGAACTCATCATTTTTTATGGCTGCAAGGACAAAAAAAACAAGCACTGTATGTTCTCGCTCATAGGTGGGAATTGAGCAATGAGAACACTTGGACACAGGAAGGGGAACATCACACACCGGGGCCTGTTGTGGGGTGGGGGGAGCGGGGGGGATAGCATTAGGAGATATACCTAATGTAAATGACGAGTTAATGGGTGCAGCACACCAACATGGCACATGTATACATATGTAACAAACCTGCATGTTGTGCACATGGATCCTAGAACTTAAAGTATAATAATAAAAAAAAATTAAAAAAAAAAGATTTTGTTTTCTAGAGCAGTGGTCCGCAACCTTTTTAACACCAGGGACCAGTTTCACGGGGTGAGGGGGAGATGGTTTGGGGATGAAACTGTTACACTTCAGATCATCAGACATTAGTTAGATTCTCATAAGGAGCGCACGACCTAGATCCCTTGCTGGGCAGTTCACAATAGGGTTTGAGCTCCTATGAGAATCTAATGCCACTGCTGATCTGACAGGAGATGAGGCTCAGGCAATAATGCTCGCTTGCCTACAGCTCACCTCCTGCTGTGTGGCCCCGTTCCTAACTGGCCACAGACTGGTACTGGTCTGTGGCCGAGGGGGTTGGGGACCCCTGCTCTAGGCAGAACACACACGGTATATATATATATATATATATATATATATATATATATATATATATACCCACACCCACCATACACCCACACATACACACACCCATACACATATGTGCACTTGCATGTATACCTATAAACACATGCGCATGCTGTCTCATTTCTTTTGTAAGTTTTTGTAGTGTGAACAGTCATGTACAGAAAGGATATACCTAGCACGTAGACATACAGCTCAATATAATATCCTGCCGCTTGACAAACCAGCCTATTAGCAATACCTATAAAATAAACTATTTTGTTTAAAATAAGAAAAAGTAGAATTTAGGTAAATATTGGCTCTCTGCAGTTATATACTGTGTACAGTGGAATCACATCTTGAAAAGGATTTATGTTCTAAAGTCAACACAAATGGTGACAATTGGTTGTGACCAAATTTCTTCTCAAAGTCCCACAAATCTCTCATAGGTTGCAGTATTTTACCAACATTGCCAGTTTTGTTTTGTTTTCTTCCCCAGCAATAGGACAGATCACTGTTTCTTTGACTGATTGAGGGGACATGAGGTAGGAAATCATGTGCACTCAAATTCTGGGAACACATTTATACAGTGAAATACTCACTCACCCCACCAGACGCCAAGGAAACTGACACTGATTGAAAGCATGGAGATGTATTTGGTCCCCTTCACTCTTGCCCTGGGAGCGTGCATTCACTGAGTGGATGCATTGTGGTGGAATTGCCTGTGTTATTTAAGTTGTTCCCTCGCCCTCTTTCCTTTTCTCTAGCTCTCTCCTACTATTTCATTCTCTCATGTTTGCTGAACATGTATAGTAAGGTATTGTAATTTCAAATACATTGCAACTCTGTGGTATGTGGCATCCTCTTTATTTACATCCTTGTTTATACGCATGCTTATATATTCTTTGTTGAAATGAAGTCACACATCTAAATATCTATGTGTGTATGGTTTGACTCTTAGAAGAGTTTTTCAGGAGCATGAATTTCGTCTCTGATTGCACCATGTCATACTGTTGTGTTCTTGGCCCATCTGGTTGCAACAAAGAACCATACAAACAGTTGTTGAAACCAGTTTCCTCCTCTGGAAAACAATTCAAAAGCTACAAGCCCATCAAATGCTGAGAACTGTCTAGCTATGGCGTGGTACAGTAGCCATCATTAAGGTTTTTGTCTTAAGATTGATACAAAGGCACAGGTTAATTTCTCAGTTCTGTTTTTGTTTTAGTTTGGAATAACTGTTTATTTAGATTATTACTTTGTTCATTGTTATGTTGGTTTTCTAACCAAGGTGATAGCTCTATTTTGTAATCTCACATACCACCCAGCTACCATGGCCTGACTTCAGTGAAAGTATTTTCCCAGCGGAGATTCAGTGAAATCATTCTCTGAGAATTTGAGTGAATAAACTGTACTTAGTGTTAAACCACAATTGGTTATGTGTATTTCCTGCCAAGACTAAAAAGTATAAATTCTGAATTTTTTTTCATAAGGGCAGTTTCAGGTTCTTTCAAGTGTAATGATTTTGACATTGTGTTTAAGAACAATTTTCATGCTAATTGAAGTCTTCTATGTCAAAGGAAAAAAGTCAAGTTCTTAGCGTACACATTCTTCTTTAAGGCATTAAATGCAATGAAAAAGAAGCCTCTAAAATATTCTTTGTAGAGATTCTTTTGTGATTATTGCAGAGCTCCATCTGTTGATTCAACAGGTTTATTGAGTACCAGGTAAGCACTATTAAAGGCACTGGGTATCACTGGGTATGCACAGCAAGGAAAGCCATGTCCTTGACCTCGTGAAGCTTATGGTCTCCTGGTGGGGTGATAGACAATAAACAACTAAAGACATAGCAATTTAGAGAAGTGTCAGGGAGACAAAGGACACAGTTCAGCGATAGAGAATAGAAAGAGGTTACCTGATTCACAGGGTGATTAGTGAAGGTTTTTGGAGGAGACAGATTTTAAGCCAAAACTTAGATAAAAAGGAGTTGAGCATGAAAAGAGCCCAAGACAGAGTTTTCTAGGCAGAAATCAGCAAGGGATAAAGGAGCTTGGCTGTTTCCAGAACTGAAAGGAGACAAGAGTGGTTAAGTATGTATGTGTATGGTATGGGGAGGGATGGGGAGAAGGTGGCATGAGATTAGGTTAGAGAGGTAAAGAGGTGCCAGATGATTCAGAGCCTTATAGGCCATGGTAAGACTCTGGATTTTGAAATAAGTACAGTGGGAAGCCAACAACATTTTCAGATGTTGAGAATCCTTATCTGATTTGAATCTTTAAAAGCTCGCTTTGGCTGCATTTTAGAGAATGAAATATGTGTGAGCATGTACCTGTGTGTTTGTGTTTATGGCTAAAAATGGAAGCAGTGAGACTCCTTGGAAGGCTATTAGAATCATCTCCTCAAAAGATAATAGTGGACTGCACCATAAGGTGGCAATAGAGATGAAGCCAAAAGGATGGATTTGAACTATTTTTTAGAGGTATTCTGAATTTACTGATTGATTTGATATCCGGGGTGAGGAAGAGTTATGAATCAAATGATCAGTTTTCTGTATATTTTTCTTTGCAACTGGGTGTATCATGGTGTCATTTACTAAGATCAGGTTTGGGGGAAGATCATGTTTCAAAGGGAGATCGTGTTCACTTTTAGACACTTAGTATGAAACCTATTGCAAAATTGATTACTTCATCAAACATTGATTGAGCTTCACTGCATGCCAGACATCGTACTGAGTAGTAAGGGTATCTGATGTCCCTACACTTATGGAATTACAGAGATGATAGATTTCAGAGTGCTAGAAGAGACCATAGTTGGAAATAATCCAGCCCAGCATCCTCATTTTAAAGATGAAGTGTAGAATTTTAATCATTTTATTTCTCCAGAAATATTAAGACTTCTCTATAAAAATTATGGTTGTTTTAGTAAAACTTAATTTTCCTCATCTAACAATAGTTGTGGCATTTTTTCCCTTAGGCATATAAGTCTGTTTTCATTTCTGTTTTAATGAATTGTTACAATTAGTCTTCAATTAGCATTAGTAAAGCACTTTCCGATGCATTCTGAAATCATAAAAATATAGGCATTATAGTCAGTTCAGTGGGCAATTTGTCATTGACTTCGGTCAGACTTATAAACAACATATGCAAAAGGAATCAGAAACCATGTTCTAGTGTACACACATTTCTCACTAAGGCATTAATGTACACAAAAGGGGAAATATCTACTTGTATTTTTTATATTATCAATGGTAGGTTGCTAATAACCTTGAAGCATTTTAGAGGGAATTTTTCAAACTTCATAGAAAGCATGAATTTGAGAGGAAAGAAAAAATTACCTAAGGGCCCTAAGTAATTTGTTGTGCAATGAATTCTAGATTTGTGTGTGCATGTTTGTTGCGGGGGGGAGGGGGGCGTGTGTGTGTGGTGGAATGTTTGTTTTAAGGTCCCATTTAACTTTATAAATTAAGGTGTTTGGTCAAAGAATAAATAGGCAGTGATGAAACAGCAAGTTGTGTAGATTTAAGCAGTTTAAATACCAGGAGATGAAAAAGATTATTTAGGGTGGTCTAGCTAAGCATACTTATTATCTAAATTACCTTACAGCATTAATTGTTCAGTTAGAGTGGAGTTCTTGGCTCATCATAGTAGGTCGGGTACTGCGAAAGAAAGGAGATGAAAGTTCCTGCTCTGCAGGGCATAGCAAATTGGAGGCATCAGGCATGGTCCAGTCTGCAGACACACGGGCACACACCTGAGGGGAGAGTGTTTTCTGCAATAAGTGGTTATGGTCATGGAATGCCCCATAGAGCAAAGGAAGTGTCCAGACGTATTGTAGAGACAGGGGCCTGTTTTTTAAGAAAGGAAAGAAGTGCGTATTGAATGAGACAGAAAATAGTCAAGTGACCTCCTTGAAGTTTAAAAGTAGTTTAAGAGGTGAAGATTAAGGCAAGGATAGTGATAGATTGAAATATATGCCAGTGAAGGAGGCAAATCTTCTGCAAAGATGGTTGAAGTTATTAAAATAAGAAGTAATTAGAACGAAAGTTCTGCTTCATCCCTGCAACAGGAATGGCAGGACTAAATTGAGAGAACTTGAAGTGCAATTATGGAAGATTTGACCCTGAGCCTTCAAGGAAGAAACAAAAATGACCAAGGGCTGACAATAGAAACTTCATGGAATTTATAAGTAGAATTGTATACATGCAAATTGATTAAAAAATAGTGATGAATATAAAGACCAGACAGAAAGACAGCTTGTCTTCCAGAATTGATCAGAAATGATAAAACAGGGACTTTGTTTATATGCCTGGACAGGAATAATCTACGTTTTATCAGATAATATATGCCTGGACAGGAATAATCTACGTTTTATCAGATAATCAATATCTTTATAACCTCATCAAAGACACAAGAGTTAGAGAGGGCTTCCCAATTCCTGAATAAATGTTTAGAAATAAACATTAGCAAGAATTTGGAAGAAGATTTTGGGACAGGAAAATCTCTTTTAACCACTTGTCCCTGGCTCCCCCAGAATGTCCACCTTCTCTGTTCTTACTGGGGCAGTTTTAGCATCTCACCTGTTGGTTAATATTTTTCCAATGAAGAACTCATTTTCTTGCTTATGTATAGGTAGTATGGCCGTATACTCCTTCACACATAACCTTAAAATATTCCTCATCATGTCATGACTGGTGCACACCACACCCTCCTGAAGCTTGAGAATGGCTGTAGGAGAAAGGAAAAAACTATAGAAAAAACTAGCAAAAGCAGGTGTTTTTGTTTGTTTGTTTTCTCTTAAACTTTTTCAGCTGTACGAATCCCTGACCAGCCAAAGAAATTGTTGAGGGAATAGTCTGGGAAACAGAGGGTAGAAACATCTTGAGATATGTTCACCTATGTAAGACAAATGTCTTCCATTAAGATTTTCTGAATAGTCTCTTGAAATGGGGACACACGTCAGGCTAGCTCTTGCTCAGGTAAACCTAGGCCTGCAGGGGCCTGTCCTAGGCTGTGCCCAACAGACACAGAGGCCATAATCTTGAGAGTTATGTTTTAGTTTGTTTATAGAAATTCCTTCTTCACACATTGCCTCTAGAACTTTCTCATTTTTCAGTTCTACTTAGGTTTTTTTTAGAAATTCCTTCTTCACACATTACCTCTAGAACTTACTTATTTTTCAGTTCTACTTAGGGACAAAGAGCACCACTCAGCTGCTGAATTCATTTAAGAAGGCAGGAGGGCACAACAAGCTCTCTCCACGTTTCCTCTGGGCATATTGTTGCCAGGTCTGTGGTTTGTGTCTAGAAATTTGGCCAATGAGTTGAGGAACATTTTTCACCCCTTCTCCCACTCCCTTCCCCTTCCCCTTTCCTTACCTTTACTTCCCTTGCTCTCTCTCTCTTTCTCTTTCTCTCTCTCTCTTTCTTTTTTTCTTTCTTCTTTCTTTCTTTCTCTTTCTTTCTTTCTTTCTTTCTTTCTTTCTTTCTTTCTTTCTTTCTTTCTTTCCTCTCTCTCTCTCTTTTTTTTTTTCTGGAGAAGAGTGGTTTAAAAGGGAGTTGAATATAACAGAGCACCTCATTATTTTCCTTTCTTTTTGTTTGCTAACTAGGAAAGTCCATCAGCTTGATAATGGAGGAGAACAATGACTCCACGGAGAACCCCCAACAAGGCCAAGGGCGGCAGAATGCCATCAAGTGTGGGTGGCTGAGGAAGCAAGGAGGCTTTGTCAAGACTTGGCATACTCGCTGGTTTGTGCTCAAGGGGGATCAGCTCTATTATTTCAAAGATGAAGATGAAACCAAGCCCTTGGTGAGTAGGAGAAAATGTAAAGCATTAAGGGCCTAAGAAAGCCAAGAAATAGAGGGATTTGCTAGAAACCGATTGGGACTGAGACCACCCAAAGCTCCCTGGTCTCCTTCAGTTCATTGTCATCTTTCACCCTTTTACCCATTGCTTGCTTTGAGTTGGAGATAATAAAATCGCTAATTGAGGCCAAGAGGCAAATTATACTTGTCTAATATTAATTTTAATATTTACTAAGCCAGAGGAGAAGGTCTCACTTCCTCTGGCAAACTTAGTTCATGAGAAAATTTTAGTAGACATCTGCTAAAAGATATATCATAGCCAAAACATCTTTCTTTTTCTCAGGAGTAAATGGAAAGCACAGGTTTGAAGGAAGAACTGTAGGCACAACTTTCAGTAATTTATGAGACATTTTCAGTATCAATTCTCAGAGGTTTCCCTCCATACCTTAACTCACATAAAATATGGATGTGGTACTAAACCAAATGACACTGATACATTCAACCAGCATACATAATGTACCAATCCTTCTGTGAATAGTCTCTGTTGCTTTGTAGTTCCTTAGTGGTTCTTTATTTGCTTATTTACTTATTTTCTCAACCACAAGTCTCAAGACTGCAATGAGAGAGAAGAATAATCTTCATCTGCATTTCCATAGTTGCAACAGTTTTCTCAGGTTCATCATGGCTTATCAGTTGATGAGAGGGTATGCAAACTGAGGCATCACTTATGTGTGTGTTTTTCATCTACGTCTATAGGATACATACATGAGAGAAGAAACATTTTAGATTCGTTTATATAAACAACCCTAACAGTATGTTCTTGAGGCTATTTCCTCTTGTGTTAAAGAACTTAATTAGGAATTTGGACCAGGTCTCTGCTTTAGTATTTTAAGTTCCTAAGGCATTATAATTTCATGATGTTCTCATTCCTCTAATTGAACTCCCTAAAAATAGCAATAAAAATACATGCTACAAACCTTGGTCTTTTTTTTTGAAATTGCTACTACTTTTTAGGCATTTACCAAGGCTGGACATCAGGCTAAAAATTACATATATTATCTTATGAAATACTTAAAATAATCCTATGAGGTAGGTATTGTTAACTCTCTTTGTGCATGAACACCAAGGTTTATGTGTAATGCAGATTACCCAAAGTTAAACAAACAGTGGTTTAATAATTTGTCTCAAGTAAGTTTGAGTTCGTATAGCTTTAGCCCAAGACATTGTAAGTAAATTAAGAAGGTCCCATATTGGTATCATGACAGTTATAGTACTTTCCATATCTGTTATTTCATTTGTCATTGCAAACCAGTGGGGAATATGGGGATTATTTTTACAGAGGAGGAAACTGTGGCTTAGAGATATGAAGTGATGTAATCAAGATCATAGGCAAATTAATGGAGTTTTTTTGTCTCCTATCTTACCCTCCACGGTTCTTTTCTAATTGCACCTTGTTTTATAATTATCTAATAATCAGATTAAGGTATTATCTTGAATATAAAATTATTTTTACCAAACTCAGAGAAAGGAACCAGGTTAATGTGAAAAGACAGAATTTAGGGGGTCCAATGTGGGGATTTCGTTACGGAGGAACACAGTGAATACTATCTGTGAAAAAATACATAGAGGGCCATATCCCAGGCGATATGATAATATCTTTTTTGAACAATTTAGGGCAGAGTTCCTCAAACTAGAATTCATGTGCACATTCTCTGACATTTGCACATTCTCAAATTTGAGAAACACGGACCACAGTCTTGGATCCACTGTATCTTCATGACTAGCAGGCACTCTAGTGGTTATATTGATTAAAAAGTTGAAAATATATATTTTAAAATGTAAAAACTCCAGATTAATTCAAATGAAAATCTACCTCAAAATGAAAATTATATTAATTCATAGTATTTCCAAGATAAATAGTATTTTTACATTAGCATGTTACTAGTATTACTAGTATTTGTAGACTTACTATAACTAAAATTAACAAAATAGACTTGTATTGACCAAAAAGTACTAATTCTTTTACAAACCAAACAGACCATCACCATCCCCCTAAAAATGTTTTTAAATTTTTCATTCTATGTATTATTTGTTAAAGATTTGTGATTAATAAAGCAGTTAAAATGTAGGATAAATAACTTTATTCTTTTTTCTTTCTTTTTTTTTTTTTTTTTTTTGAGATGGAGTCTCACTCTGTAGCCCAGGCTGGAGTGCGGTGGTGCGATCTCGGCTCACTGCAACCTCTGCCTCCTGGGTTCAAGCGATTCTCCTGTCTCAGGACCCCAAGTAGCTGGGACTACATGAGTGCGCCACCACACCCGGCTAATTTTTTGTATTTTTAGTAGAGACGGGTTTCACCGTGTTGGCCATGCTGGTCTTGAACTCCTGACCTCAGATGATCCACCTGCCTCAGCCTCCCAAAGTGCTAGGATTACAGGCGTGAGTCACTGCGCCCAGCCTTGGGAGAAATAACTTTGAATTTTCTTTTTTAACTAACTTTCATACAATTCAAGCACTGAGAATTTTAACATTGAGCTTTTTAATGTTTTGCCCTGATGTTTAAACACACGCATACAAATTCAGATTAAGAACTGACAATTTCTGTATCAGAGGGAACTTTGTAATATACAAACATTCTATATTGTTCTATGAGTGGCCTAATTTCTTCCCTTAAAATAGACCAAGTGAGAGTAGATGCCTGGCACATGGTAACTGTTAATAGCATATTTTTGAATGAGTTAATGAGTCAGTGGAATGTGTCTAGAGCCATGCAGCAGCAGGGCCAGGACCAAGGCACCATGAGTGATACTGTTCTCAACTCCCATCTATCAAAATCATGCTATTTAAAACAACAAAGTTTAAGCCACATTAAATAAGACCTGCAGTGATATATTGTAGAATATCTTTTAAAGAATCATAACATCTAAATGGAGAATAATTGAGCACCTTGAAAAATGTTGAAAGTGGAAAATAATTTGTCCTAAAACCTGTCATTTTGTATTTGTGTGTTTATGATTACATGTGTGTGGTTGTGTGTGTATCTGTGTGTAACAGCCAAAAGGACATTGTTAATAAGTGACAGATGAGGAGCTAGGAGTCACTTTCTTGCTTCTAGATCCAGTGCTTCCTCTGCCTCATCCTTGCCTTCTCATTAGTCCTCAACTTTCCTTTACCTTTGCTTTTAGTCAGAGGTATTTCTTGCTTTTTTCTTTTCACTTCAATGCTTCCAACGTAAGAATGTCCATGGTCTTCATATATTTTGATGCGGTCTATTTCAATAATATGGAGAAAATATCATGAGTAAAATTTTAAAAATTCTTTCTTTTAAACATTCCTAACCAGCTGGAAATATTCAATAATCTTAACTTGCTTTTTGTTTTTTTACTTTCTTAAAAGGCACTTCTAAAATGAGAGTATAAAACCCATGAAATGTGTGTCCTTCTTGTCCTTGGTTAAAGTTCTTAATTTATTATAGTAAATTTTCACTGAGTTGTTTTACTCAATAAAAAGAGTCAAATCAAACTCCATCATTATCCTTATTATGAAAAACTGCTCATCTGTTGAGGGAAAGCAAAATTATAATAATGACAGGCTACCCTGAAAATGCCGATGCTATGAGTACACAGGTACAGTTAGTGGCAAGGAGTGAGTGAGGACTGTCTAGAGGGCTTGGGAAGGGCTGCATAAGGCAAGAGGTGACCCTGACCTGGGATTTTGAAGGTAGATGTGAGTTTTCCAGGTAGATAAATTGGGGAAAGGAATTCAGAGCAGAGGAAAGACATGGAGTTGTAAAATAGATATCTATAGATAGCTCCATATTGCAAGGGTGAATGTATGGCAAGAATGCAGTTAGAGAGAAACGGGGGGCCCCAATGGAAAAGGGGTTCCTTAGTAGGCAGTGAGAAGCTATTTCCAGAGCATCTGTGATACTCAAACTACACAACTATGTTAATCTCAGAAAGGAATCATGACAGTTGTTTCCTAATACATTGAAAACCTAAGTTAATAAATATGAGTTTCTCAATTAGATTTTCCTTACGTCTCTGTCTTCAATTTTTATTGCTATGAGAACACACTATATCTGATTTAGTGCATTATGTACTTAAATATTGGAACTTACTATGAATGTTTCATGTTCTTATTCAACTTGCACCTTGCCTTCCAAATATTCAACAACCTGCCCAAATTTGAGAACTTAGAAAGTTTCAATGCCACTTTTCTTGTATTTTCTTTTTGAGCAAAAGGCAAAGGTGCCTCAAGGCTCTCAGCTCTCTGGAGACAGTACCTGATTTGTAAACAATGACTTTCCAGTGCTTAGCCAACAATACCTGGCAATATGAGAGGCTTGTCTCATAATATAGCTATTTAATATTTAATATCAATCAAACTAAACATCCTCATTATCCTGTAATTTTTTTAATTAAAAAAAGCAGCTTTAGTTCATCTAGGAGAAAACCGTCTCCAGAATCCATTGTCTACAAGTATTTGCACTTATACAGATTTTATCCAGAGCATATTTAAAAAATAAAGTTGATTTTGATTGTTTTTATAAAAACAAACAGGAAGGTGATGCATGCAGGCCATTTTTGAAAGTACATTAATACATCTATAATTCTTGTCACTCACAGGCCACTACTATAAACATTTTATAGTGCTGAATTTTTCCAGTTTTTAAGTAATATCTTTTGTATTTTATCTTACAAATTTCATTGTATTTACATGCAGAGGAAAAAGTGTAAAATCATTCTGTACAGAAGAATCTATAAAAAAGAATCTTCCTCCTACGCCGCACACCCCAAAGGACTTTGGATACCTATTAGAAAGGATTTTAAAACACATTTGAACTGAATTCATGACAATATCTGTTCTGGCATGTTTCATCAATCATGACAAATGACCATGGCCTTGTCAATACAATAACATGGGGGGAGCAGCCAAGTCAGAGATGAAGTATGATTATAGTTATCTTAAAAATAAGGCAATTGTGCAGGTTTTGTTAAGTGAATCCAGTGATAAATTTTCCTAATGGTTTTTCAGGCCCACCTATTTTACTTCTATTATGTAGCATATTATTACTTAAATAAAAGCTAAGTCTCAAGCTTGGCCATACTAGAGAAAGCCTCTGACATACCCCTGTGCTAGAATTTGACACAGCAGGGCATCGATTTTTAGAAGCCAGTCTGAAACTCCTGATAAAATGACTAAAATCTAAATAAGCACCAACCCAATTAATGTGGTCTAGACTTTCTACAACAGATATTGATCCAATTATGTGGGGAAGGTTTTTTCTGTGCCTGATCAAGATGACACTATATTAGATCACAATGGATTTTCTTAACTTAGAGGACAAAGTGATTCTGAGTGAATTATAACCTGAGGGCTGACCTCTAAATGTGCAAGGATTGATTGCTGATTTAAGAGTAAGCTCTAGGCTGGGCGCAGTGGCTCACGCCTGTAATCCCAGCACTTTGGGAGGCCGAGGCGGGTGGATCACGAGGTCAGATCGAGACTATCCTGGCTAACACGGTGAAACCCCGTCTCTACTAAAAATACAAAAACAAAATTAGCCGGGCATGGTGGCGGGCGCCTGTAGTACCACCTACTCCGGAGGCTGAGGCAGGAAAATGGCGCGAACCCGGGAGGCGGAGCTTGCAGTGAGGAGAGATCGCGCCACTGCACTCCAGCCTGGGCGACAGAGCGAGACTCCATCTCAAAAAAAAAAAAAAGTAAGTTCTAATTTTATATATTTAATGAAACTCGTGTGTTAATGAAATCTAGAAATCTCTAAGGCAATTGCTGTCCCGTTAACATTTATGAAGCCAAAGCCTCGATGAAGTATTTAAAATAATACTAGAAACCTTGAAACTTAGATATCATCCTCAAATCTAAAACTAACTTTCTGTGTAGCATCTGATTCTTTTGGTGTTTAAAACGACACTAAGATGGTACTGTGTGTCATCATAAATTCTTAGAAATTCTTAGCACTTTCCTAGAAATGATTATATGAAGTGAAAGTATTATTCATATAAAATATTATTTTATTCCACTGTTATTTAAAATTTTATTGCTTTCCTCTACACAGCAATATAGGAATAACTTTTTTAAGAGTAAAGACATAGGCTTTAGAATAAAATTATTCGAATTGAATCTTAGCTCATATAGTTACTAATTCGGATACATTGGGCAAATGATTTAGCTGGTCTAAGCTTCAATTTACTAATCTGTATAATGAGATTATGATAGTAAATACTTCATAACATTATTTTGGGTATTAAATGAGATACTTTATTTATCTGATTTTGGAAAGCAATGATACATGGTAAGCATGAAATAAACATTAGTATTTTTATAAATTAATATGAGAAAAATAGAATTTATTGTTTAAGATATTAATACTACTCATTCATTTGATTTTTTAAGTGAACACATATTTATAGATTTCTAATGTACCTACAAGTATTATTCTAGATTCTAGGAAATATATATATTTATATTTATAATATATATCATAGGAAAAAAAAATATATATATAATAGATCCCTCAAAATAAAGATTTAGAAAGAAGCAGCTCAGGTGAAAGTCCAAAATTATTCTAGGTAAGTAAGGAAAGTTTGCTTCAAACAACTATTTAGAAACCTAGGCTTCCAGTGATTTTGCAATTTTAACTTTTGGCTTCCAAATTCACCATGGGAATATAAAATAGCGTATTGCCTAGAAGGATCAGATGGACCAGACATGGTAGTGGCCCTTGTCACTTCTGTTCACATTTTGTTAGTTAGATAGTACTGAGTCACATGAGCACATCTAACTGCAAAGGAGGCTGGACTTGGAGCCTAGATTGATCCTGGGAGCAGAGGAGCGCGAGAGTGAGAACTGTCTGCTATACGTGACTAAAGTAATACCAAGCATTTGTGAAGAAGGAGTTAAATTCTAGTGGGTATTAGGCATAATTATAGTTATTATACAGTGTAATAAGTATTTTAATAAAGATAAAATAGGGAACCATTGGAAGTCATAGGAGGAGCCCCTACCACCACTTCAAGGTTCAGGGAGAGCTTCTCAAAGGAATAATTTAACCTGAGAAATGAAGGATGGTATCCGTAGCTGCTGGAGTGGTATTTATGGCAAAGAAAAGGTGTAGGCCATAGCCCTTTTGTAAGTTGTTAGAAATTGATAATGGTCAAGTATTCCCATACCTAAGAAAGAGGACAAGAAGAGAGAGAGATTTGGAGAAGAAAGCAGAGGCAAGTTTGTTAAGAGTCCAGAAAGCAGTGGTAAATATCTTAGATTTTATCTTGGGACCTTACATTTTCCCTGCCTTTATATGCCCATTTTTCTTGGTTTATTAGACTTAAAGCTAAACAGTTAAAACAGAACTCATTCTATGTACAGTTCACTGTGAAGGAATCCAAAATGCCTGCCTATCTGAAAAGGCATTCCGTGGCAGTCCTGCAACTCCTATAATTGACTATTTTATATTATTATCTAGTCCCTGGAAAAATTATGAAAAGCAACTATGCTATAGATAAATACTTGACCTGCCATCATTCCATTAGCGTGTAAGTAGGAATTACAGGAATGCTCCTCAGGTCGCTTTTGACTGTAGGAGGAAGAGCTAAGAAAATCTGTCGCTGCTGGAGAGGGCACCTGAGATGGAAAAGCACAGAGGATATCTTGCACAAAAAAAGATTGATGGGCAGAGGGATCACAGCATGTGAGACCATTTTCACACTCATAATTTTCTCCAGAATTGATTTGTCCGGTATAGGCACTTCCCTGGGAGGCAGTTGAGTCCACTTGTTTTTTTGTGCAGTTTCTAGAATCAGTCTGCCTGGGTTCAGTCTAGACTCACTACCAGCTATAGGGCTTGGCTAAGTTCATAAAATTCATTATTCTCATCTGTAAAATATACATCATAAAATACCTATCTCAGAATAGTTGTTAACAATACATGAAATAATGTTTCTAGAATGCTTACACAGTACCTGTCCATATATAAAGCAGTTAATAAATATTAGCTATTGATGTTACTATCATCATCATCATCATTTGTACCATCTTTGTCCATCAGGATACATTAACACAGCAGTTTAGAAGTTAAGATCTATAATATATACTTTATTAATTGTATAATGAAGGGAATAATAGATGATCAGCCCATGTAAGATTTACAGGGAGGTGCTTTTCGTTGGTCATGCTAACTTCAGAGCAGAAAATAACTTGTTTTCACTTGTCACCTATGCTGTCAAACATTGAACTTATTACATGGAAAGATTTCAGAACAATACTCTCCTTTGTAGTATGTCTTTTCTCTTTGTTTACATTACTTTTCTGGGCTCCTTCAGAGTTTATCAAAATGGTTATGATGACAGCCAAGGAGACTTGAAGAATTCTCTTTGCAAAACCGGCTACCCCAGAGACAGCACTGGTTTTCTGGTTTCTCAGCACCAGTTGAAGGGAGAACTATTGGAGTTGAATTCCTTGAGTTCTATTCTCACATCTACTCTTATTAACTGAAGGCTTTTGTATTTGTGATGCAATTCAATATATGGAACCAGGTAGTCCATATTCAGACTATCTCATGTGCACAAACTCAGGAAAATTTCCATTATACCAACTAGAGGAGAAGAAACTTTAGGGGAAAAAACAAATGAGTAAAAATATAATTTGAATATTTACATTTTTGGTGTTTACAGCAATGTGTTTTAAAAGCCTATTTTTTTGCCCTTGATATATTAAATATTTCATAGCCATTTGTTACTTGTTCTCTTTTAGGTTTTTTTTTTTTTTTTGCTATTCAATTTTCATGTCTTCTCTTCTTTAGCTTTATCTTGCCTAAATCCAGCTGCTTCTCGTTTTTTAGAGCTGTCACCATATGTTCATTCATTTGGTGACTATTTATCAATTATAAACTATGAAATTACAATTTTAGAGTGTTTTGATCACTTTTTATGTACAAGGAAGCAATCCAGATACAAAAATTAGTGTTCTCACTTTCTGAAATTTGGCTTTTTTCTTTTAGCATAATATTTTCCAGGTTCATTCATGTTGTAACATGCTATCAGTACTTTGTTTCTTCTTTTGTTGAAAAATATTCCATTGTATTAATATAACACTTTTTAAAATCCATTTGTCGGTTGATGGACATATGGGTTGTTTACACTTTTTGGTTATTATAAATAATGCTGCTCTGAATATTCATTTACAAGTGTTTTTGTAGCCATATGTTTTCATTTCTCTTGAGCATACACCTAGGAGTGGAGTGACTGTGTCATATGGTAACTGTATGTTTAACCTTTTGAGGAACTATGCCGATCATTTTTATTCAATTTCAATCTAATTTAAAACTCAAGCCTCACACTTGGTTTAAATCTCATCTGCGTCCCTCCACACCCTGTGTATGTGTTTGTGTGTGTGGTGGGGGGGGAGGGTGATGGAGAGAGAGAGAGAGAGAGAGAGACCTAGGCAGAGAAACCATGAGCTGGATAATCTTTCCTTGTCTTTGAAGTCTCTGTTACTGAGAACTGGTGAGAACAGGTGAGCAAAGACAAATGAATCTCTGCCTAAGAGCCTATTGCTGTTGGGGACTACATGTCCATATTGGTTGTTTCTGCCTTTCTGGCTAATTTGTGGCTGTTGATGACCATCTCGACTTCCCAGATGTTAAATATGACAAAAATAACCTATCTTGTCCTTTTTCTTCACCTTTCAGCTCTCAGAATTGGCAGTACACCCCACAGCTTCTTGCTAAAGTCCTATCACCTGGGGACCCACTTTTCATTATTTCACATGAACTCACTAGAAATCCATACATGGTTGCCATGACAAATATGGTATTGCAGGCCCCTCCACATGGCCCCAAAATTTTCTTTGCTCTACGAACTTTTTCCAGTTCTTTTGTCTATTACTCAAGGATAAGTGCAAAGCAGCCTCAGCACGTGACAAACTGAGGCAAGAACTCCCAGTCTCTCCAGTAGCCAGTGACTGCTGGAGTTTTATCTTCCTTGACTCAAGGGAGTTATGGACTCTCCTTTCAGATGTTTTGCCTGTAGCCGGAAGGGGAGGACAGATAGTGGTTCTGGCCACAGTGATCGTATCTGACTGGGTTTGGTTCTATTCTGTTGTTCTGTTGTCTCGTAGAAGAGTAAGGCACTTAGTACCTCTTCATTTTAGCTTTTAGATTCCAGCAACCTGTCAGAGACAATAGAATAATTCCTATTTAACATCTCATTACAAAAACCTATGTTATACTCTTATATTTTTGAAACTACAGCTTATAAATCAAATGTACCTACTTTTTATTGTCCCAGATAAGTGGAACTAATATTTTCTCATCAAAGAATTTTTCCACAATTGTAAAAATCCTTCCTGTTTCTGATTTCTTATGATTATTAACTTGAAATAATATTCTATACTGCTTATGAGCTAGGTACCTTGCCATATACACAAATATGATTTTAATATTTTAAAATATTAAAGTACTAAAATATAGCATAATAAGCATTACATATATTTTAACTTATGATAAATTATTTCTCTTCTGACTTATTGTTTATGTTCATGTCACGTAGTTAGAAAAGATTAATAGAATCAATTCTATTTATTAGCAGAATCCTTAACTCATCTTTGTGAACCTGAATTTCTACTTAAACATGTTTTTCTAGATATGGGATTACAGATGCTTAAATAATATGTAATTCTTCACTCATGTTTAGAAATAAAATAGTGCAGATAAACTTGTTCTACTTTGTGGCCAATCCTGAGAAAATTTAAGATAAAGAATTGAATCTATGGATAAGAGCTCACTGACTTAGACATGAGTTGTAAATGCTGTAGTACTGGCCTTGCTTGAAGGGTGCATTGATTATTTGAATAAACCAACGTAGCTCTAACTTAACTGTGTTTTTTAACATTCATAATCTTCTCCAGGGAAGGCAGAAAACATTAGCAGTAAGATTCTAGTACAATTTTTGAACAGTTTTTCAGTGCTAAATTTCTGTGTCTATTTTGAAACTTTTCCTAGTTTTTTTTAAATTCCAGTATTTAACAGTTACATTTTCTCTAGATTTTAAAGGAGATTTTCTACCTGTCAATTTCTGTTTTATACATATATAAAATACATGTGGTGGTAAATAAGCCAAAGGTACTTTTGGGTTATGGACTTTATTCTTCTATTAATGAGTTGCGTTACCTTGTATTAGTCCCTTCTTTCTGTACTTCCTCTATCAAATGAAGAGAAGAAGCTGATGGCTTCAGAGTTGTTATTTAATCCCAGGTTTCTAGAAGTTTTGTGTAGCCCCACAAAAGTTCCTGCTTTTTAAAAATTAAGTTATCATAATTCTTTCAATGAGCTAATACTTTGTTTCCCAAGTCATTGAATTTGCCTATGAAATTTGCATTGCAATATCCAAAGATATTTTGGAAATGAGACACTCGATCTTTAGAGTATCCTATGGGAAAATGAGCAGTAATTCCATTTTCAACCTATGAGAAGATTTGTAAATATTCTGTTTTCTATCTTAGCCTGAATTTTGAATATTGAAGTAAAAATCTTGAAGCCAGTTTTAGTCATTACCACAAATAATGACACTATGGCTTATCTAAAATACATTTTCAAAAATGACTCTTTAAAGAATCATCATTTTACATGCAATTTTGATAAATATAGTGTTTATTTAAGATGTTATCTCCGTTTTTGACTCTTTAAACTGCTTGAGAATATTTTAAAGATATGGACAATCAGACTGCTCCCTTTAAAGCCCTTTCCATCCAAAATTATGAGATACAAAACGCATGAGATAGAAAACTTGGCTGGATTTTTAAAACATTAGACTGTAGTTTACTGCTTGAAATTGTATGAGTAATTCATTTTTCAATGAATTATGTTTACAAAGATATGCCTACAGAGACTGTAACACTCTTTATGTCAATATCCAAAAAGTGTACAATGGGGTTGATTTAAATGTCAGATACTTTAATCGTTCAACTCTTACTATTACACAACCTAGTATTACCGGGGGAAAAAAACCTGCAAAAACATTTATGGATCTCAGGTAATGGTCTGAATTGAAAAGTTTCAACATATTTTTCACTAAGCTATTTCAAATTATATAATTTGATTTTATCTTAGAAGTAATAATTTAAGAAGCAATATTTGTTGTCTTTCCAAGTTTATGTGTCTCTGATTACTTTATGTGGCTGGTCGGAAACTGCACTTTTGTTTCTGACCTGTTGTTTCCTTTAATATTCTGGATTGAGAAACAGGAGTTGTGCGGTGCTTCCCTGGGGACTTACATTATGTTGCATTCCACACAGCTGATACTCTTCTAGCTTTCCTGTTTTGATGTCTGTCAAAAAATTTGAAAATTTTTGATTTTTTCTAGTAAAATGCATTAGCAATATTACTGAGCTCAGAAATTAAAATAACAAGTTTTCTTGTCTAGTGTAACTAACTCAAACTATTCCTCAGTTTCAAATATTTTCTTAGAGTGACAATTAAAGATGGTTTAGCTAATAAAAATTAAAGATGTATTTTAATAAGTAATCCTTCACTCTATTGTGGCTTTCCAGGAAGATGAAAAAGGGTAAATGTTTATTATGAACTGTTATGTCTTATGTGTTCAGTACTCTATTTATATTATTATTCTATTAATTCTCACAACACTTTATTCATTAGATGTTTTTTAATAGATCAAGAGACAGAACTTCAGAAGGGTTAAAAAATCTGTATCCTTTAAAGACTTAAACGTTAGACCTAAAACCATAAAAACCCTAGAAGAAAACCTAGGCATTACCATTCAGGACATAGGCATGGGCAAGGACTTCATGTCTAAAACACCTAAAGCAGTGGCAACAAAAGACAAAATTGACAAATGGGATCTAATTAAACTAAAGAGCTTCTGCACAGCAAAAGAAACTACCATCAGAGTGAACAGGCATCCTACAAAATGGGAGAAAATTTTCGCAACCTACTCATCTGACAAAGGGCTAATATCCAGAATCTACAATGAACTCAAACAAATTTACAAGAAAAAAAAAAAAACCCCATCAAAAAGTGGGCAAAGGACATGAATAGACACTTCTCAAAAGAAGACATTTATGCAGCCAAAAAACACATGAAAAAATGCTCACCATCACTGGCCATCAGAGAAATGCAAATCAAAACCACAATGAGATACCATCTCACACCAGTTAGAATGGCAATCGTTAAAAAGTCAGGAAACAACAGGTGCTGGAGAGGATGTGCAGAAATAGGAACACTTTGACACTGTTGGTGGGACCGTAAACTAGTTCAACCATTGTGGAAGTCAGTGTGGCGATTCCTCAGGGATCTAGAACTAGAAATACCATTTGACCCAGCCATCCCATTACTGGGTATATACCCAAAGGACTATAAATCATGCTGCTATAAAGACACATGCACACGTATGTTTATTGTGGCACTATTCACAATAGCAAAGACTTGGAACCAACCCAGATGTCCAACAATGATAGACTGGATTAAGAAATGTGGCACATATACACCATGGAATACTATGCAGCCACAAAAAATGATGAGTTCATGTCCTTTGTAGGGACATGGATGAAATTGGAAATCATCATTCTCAGTAAACTATCACAAGGACAAAAAACCAAACACCACATGTTCTCACTCATAGATGCAAATTGAACAATGAGAACACATGGACACAGGAAGGGGAACATCCCACTCTGAGGACTGTTGTGGGGTTGGGGGAGGGGGGAGGGATAGCATTAGGAGATATACCTAATGCTAAATGACGAGTTAATGGGTGCAGCACACCAGCATGACACATGTATACATATGTAACTAACCTGCACATTGTGCACATGTACCCTAAAACTTAAAGTATAATAATAATAAAAGAAAAAAATCTATATCCCAAGGCTAGCAATTGGCAAAACGAGGCATACAGTGAAAAATATAGGTATAAAAATAAGTCCAGGAAGGAAAAAATAAATATTCTGTAGATATGGGCAGGATCCAAACTAGTGCCAAAAGGTGTTTTTACTACATTTTTTTATCAGGGAGAAAAAAGAAGGAACTTCATTCCTACTTTAATAAATAAGAATACAGCTTGTCATATCCCTGCTGAAGAACCCTATCCTCTTTGAAATCATGACAATTTAGAGGCATCCTGGGGGTTCTAGTAATTATGTTAATAACTCTTAAGTTTTGCTTAGAGGTCCTAGGAGAAGGCATATTGGCCTTCTGTAGACCATGCTTGGTTGTTTACTAAGAATACTCAAAGAGTGTGTATGCAAGATGAATTGTAGAGCTTGCTAAAACCCATCTACTTATATCTAATCCTCATTTTTTTTGCAATAATTCATGAAATAGCCTCTTTTAGCTCTATGGGCATTTGCAGGTGGTTCCCACTTTTAGTTGTTTCACATTACATCACTCTGATCCATCAATGCCATGCAATATAAACCTGAGTTTTGTTTCTACCTGCCTTTATCAACTCATACAATGAAAAAGATTTGTTAACAAAAGCAGATGTATTCCTTCTGTTTTTGACACAAGACAAAAGTGATTCAGAGCAGTAGCTGATGATTGTGACTAAATTATGGTACATAAAATGGAAATGGCTAATCAGGAAATGTGCCATGGACTGTCTTCTTGGGCATGGGACAGAGAACTGAGAAGAGTGTGGCTATCAAGCCTGCCTCTGGCACTCACCACTCACTTTTGTGGAATCCTGTTGAATCCACCTCTGGTGTTTTAAGTCCTAGAGAGAAACCTGGGGGAATCTGTGGGAGAGGTACTCTTCTTAACTCTATTTCCATTTAAGGGTTATAACAAAATGGCTATGGGACTTGAATACCTGTTGATGTGATGATGTTGAAGAATAGATTTTGGACATTTCTGTCAAAGAATAAAATAATTTTTATAATTTCATGGAATTGAGTAGATGGAAGATGTTCGTTCTTGCTTTCATTTTCCTTATTCCATCTCCAAGGAAAGGAAAGTCTGCTTTTGTAAGTTAGGCTTCAGAGCTTTTTCACTAGTCACTGTTTTACTGGTGGCTTACAGTAATGTATTAAAAGTCCAGTCTGGAGCATGCTGAGACATTAGTCTCTTTTTCCTACCTTTGGTTCCCCAGGGACTACTATCCAGAAGGGAAAAGTGCCAATTATCTCTTTATCCTTTGCATCTAGTTGGTTCGTGGTCACATGTATAAAATACTTGGTCCAGATCTCTCATTGGAGCAACAATTTCTGACTCCTGGAATCCCTCCAATTTTCTAGTCCTTTTTTGTATATCAGCATCTCCCTTGATTTTTAACTATTTTTCTCCATTCTCTCTCTCAGAAAATGATTGCAGGAGCATTTGCCCCACTCTGGGAAGGTCAAGTGGATGCCTCTTGTTATCGCTCTTTCTTTTTTTCCCCCCTCTCTTTCTTGTTCTTGCTCATATTCTTTTAGCCAATTGCTATGGTGAGGCATTACATCCCAGTGGAGTGGTAAGAATGGAGACTTGGATTTGGGATTTGGGTTGAAATAGAGTAAGTAAGATTCTGTGATTCAAGACCACATACACTTAGCATGCATAGGGAAAAGGAATCTTTGTTCATACTTTCTTACCAGAGATCTACGAAGCAGCTTTGGCCCAAAGCCTGCATCAATAATAAAGTGTTTGGGAGCTTGTTTTACTACCTGTGAATACAGTTTCATGGTGACATGTGATTGGTTGAATAAGAGACTCAGATATTCAATCATAATACTATTTTGGTGGTATGCTAATCCCTATATTTCAAACAGAATGAAGCTTGAATATCTACGATGTTACATCTATCATTTGATAGAAAAGGAAGCTGAGGGTCAGAGAAGATTATAATTCGTATAAGGGATTCTCAGGCTTAATAAAGTTGAGAATTGGGCCGGGCGTGGTGGCTCACACCTGTAATCCCAGCACTTTGGAAGGCTGAGGCGGGTGAATCACAAGGTCAGGAGCTGGAGACCAGCCTGGCCAATATGGTGAAACCCCATCTCTACTAAAAATACAAAAATTAGCCAGGCATGGTGGCACGTTCCTGTAGTCCCAGCTACTTGAGAGGCTGAGGCAGGAGAATCGCTTGAACCTGGGAGGTGGATGTTGCGGTGAACCGACATTGCTCCACTGCACTCCAGCCTGGGCAACAGAGCAAGACTCCCTCTCAAAAATAAATAAATAAATAAATAAAAATAAAGTTGAAAATTGCTTAATTCACATAATACCTTAAAATTGCTTATATTTTTAGCAGAGTTTCAAAGCCAGGTCTTCTGCTATAAGCACTGTAACTAAAGAATAGGCCACAACCCAATATGTGTTCTCTTTTCTCAAAATGGTAGATTGATGAATTCTCTATTGGAATTTTAAAAAGTACTCATAGAAACTTCTATAAGTATCTATGTTACTTTTATGTAGTCAAACAGTGCCTTGTGTTATTAATAGTCATGTTTAGTTTGTCTTTCTAATCACATTGACCCCAAGTGGTATTCCTTAATTGACCCAACAGAACAGAGGTAAATTAATACAGAGAAATATTACATTCTCATAAAGAGAAGGCCGAATGATGTCGCCATTACAGTACTGTCTGAACAAAAGTTCCCCAGTAGTTAGAATAGAGATAAGTTGTGGCTTCAGTTGCCCCTGTGCTATAATAGTTAGTAGTTACTTCATGTTGTGTGTGATCATCCTTTTAAAAGAAAAAAGCATCATCTAGCAGATCACATGAATGTTGATTTTAACATGTAATGATGTTTAAATTTTATTAGTATTTTAGTTTGTTCAGTATAGGCTTGTGAATTTGGGTGGGGGGCTTATGTTGATATATTATTTTATTACCATAAAAATATTTAACTTGACTTTTACAGCCAGTGAGTTTTTTTCTTTAGAAGTATACACTTTAGTCAAATTGACAAATAGTGGTCTAATCATGCCGTGTTTTAATAAATGAAATAAGTGCAGTTCCATCAATCCCTTGGACTTGATAGACTAGGACTCTTGGCTTCCTTTCTTCTTCATTCCTTCCATCCTTCTTTCCTTCTGCATTTATTCATGAATAGATTTATGCATGTGATATATCCCAGGTATGCTTGATCTAAAACAAGTCACTGCTCTTGTGAAGCTCGATTATGATGGGGGAGACAGCCATTTAACAAGTAAGGAAAGTAACCTACTATGAGGAAAATAGAGAACTAGACAGACAATACTGGTGCAGTGGTGGTCATGATAGTAGGGCCTATTTAGACAGAAAGGAAGGGAAGGTCACATTTAAATTGAGATCTAAAGAAGAAAGAAGACTGTCATGCAAAGAGAAGGAAGG